>NC_000003.12:195819567-195970566 GCF_000001405.40 Homo sapiens | reverse complement strand
CAGGACCACCGGAGAAGCTCCGTCCCCAGCAGGGCAGCTTTCTCTTAGAGGTTTCCTGGAGTTCAACACAAGACTGGTGCTTACATCTCAGGCCCAGATATTGATCATGTCTTCATGCCTGGCTTCCAGCAGCTCGGAAACGTCTTTAAGCTGGACCTGTTGCTGCCCCTAAATATACTCAGCAGAGAGGGAGAGTGGGCGGCCGGTGGACAGTGATCTGTGTGGCCTGTGCTGCTGGGAGTCGGTCCAGTAGGACCGTCTGTGATGATGGAAATGTTGACTGCCGTCCAGTATGGCAGCCATTAGCCATGGGGCCGTGGAGAACCTGATATATAGTCAGTCTAAGAAACTGAATTCCTCTAATAACAAGGATTCTTGTCCATGAATGAGAATCTCTTGTCTACTATTTGCAAGAATTGCTGCGTATTTTCTAGGAAGAAGTCCACTGCTTTAGTCCTATTCTGAAAGGCATTTGGTGTTAGACACAAGAGAACAGGTTCCCTGCTGACATTTTCAGAGGCCCGTGCCCTTCGGTCTTCAGGTGAGGCTGGGCTTGAGGGAGGCTTTGTGGAACGGTGAGAAGAACAGCGTGACTAAGGCACAGAAGGCTGAGTGATGCCCTGCAGTGCTTTTGTAGGGTTGGAGGCCAGCTGGGAAAGAAGGAACCCTTGCGTTAGAGAATGGGAACATGCCTTAGGATATAGAAATGGCAAATCTGAGATAGTTTGAAGTGAGAATACTAGAAGTGTTCCCACCAAACAAGGTGTGTCTTGGTGCCTGCTGTATCCCAGGCTCCGTGAGGTGCCGGAGTCAGCACTGAACAAACAGAGCTTCCTATGCTTGCGGAAATGCATTTCGTTGGGGGAAGGGATTTTTCTGCTGACTCTGGCTATTAATAGTAACAATCAAAAAAAGAAATGAGGTAAATTGTTAGAAACAGGCCCCCAAATGTGGCCATAAACTGGCCATAAACAAAATCTCTGCAGCATGTGACATGCTCGTGATGGCCAGGACGCCCACGCTGGAAGGTTATGGGTTTACCGTAATGAGGGCAAGGAACACCTAGCCCACCCAGAGCGGAAAACCTCTTAAGACGTTCTTAAACCACAAACAATAGCATGAGCGCTCTGTGCCTTAAGGACATGCTCCTGCTGCAGATAACTAGCCAGACCCATCCCTTTATTTCCTGTAAGGAATACTTTCAGTAAGTCTTATCACTGGCTTGCTGTCAATAAATACATGGGTAAATCTCTGTTTGAGGCTTTTGGCTCTGAAGGCTGTGAGACCCCTGATTTCCCACTCCACACTCTATATTTCTGTGTGTGTGTCTTTACTTCCTCTAGTGCCACTGGGTTAGGGTTTCCATGACCCAGCTGGTCTTGGCAGTAAATATTGAAAAGGAATAGATACAGTTTCCATTATTTACAGATATAATTTCCAAAAAATTTCCAGAGAATAAATGGAAAAACTAACAGAAACAAAACAAGAATGTAGTAAGGTATGTGGATAAGAGATTTGTATGTAAAAATCAGTAGCTTTGCAATGTGCCAGCAGTAATCTGCTCAGACATCAGTAAATATCTCATTCGCATTTCAAACAAAAAATTTAAAATGCCTTGAAATAATGTAACCAGAAATACGAAAAGATGATACGAAAACGTCGCTGCTGAAGGACATGAAAGAATGTAATACTAGATTCTGAGATGCAATTTTTTTCATTTGTTCTTCCTGAAAAACCGTTAGGTTGATGTGCATTACAGTGTTACGATTATGTATGAGTCTAAGGAAAATCAGATGAAATGTCCAAATTGAACCATGAAGGTGCATTGGTAGAGGAAGAGACAATTAGGGTCAGTGGAGCAAAGCACAGTTAGAGGGAGAAGCAAGGAGGAGGAGGGATCACGGAGGTGGTGCCTGTGTGTCCCACAGGAAGCAAAAGCTGATGCCCAGTTCCCAGCATACCTAAGTAAACTTCAGGTCCACTCCCAGCACGTTTCTCGTGATAGTAAAACTATGAAGGAACTCAGTGTACAAGGAGCTTCTACAAAATAGGCAGAAGACAGTAGCCAGATGGGCCAAGGGCCCCAGCCACCCACGCCCCTCCCTCTCCTTGAAGACCTTCGGTTCCAACCCCACCATCAGCAGGGCTCTGCTCAGTTCCTCCTTGTGTGTATCACCACAGGGCTGCTGGCTCGTGTCACGTTCACCACCAGACCCCACATCAGGAGTCCCGCCAGGGGTGTGGGGAGGCAGCGCTGCCTGGTTGGCCGTGGAGCCGTATGGAACATGGTGCCTCACAGGCAGTCTGCTTGGCGTCCTGGATCCTGGCTGTATCCCGCTGGAAAGGATGTGTGTGGGTCTAAGATATGTATATAATAGAAACATTTATTCAGAAGCTTTAGTCAAGACTTCATTTTTAAGTTCAGAGTAATAAACTCATAGTCTAAATTTCCTAATTTTTCTGTTTAATTTACATAAATAAAATGAAATGCAAAACAACAGGTCTAAAAGTTAAGCAGTTCTTGGTATGGCTGCTTCTATGAATTAAAAGTTTACAAATAATATTTTGTGCCACAGTCAACGCAAAATCATGCTGCCGTGTTCCGTGTGGGAAGCTTGTTGCAAGAAGGTTGTGGGAAAATCAGCAAGCTCTATGGAGACCTGAAGCATCTGAAGACGTTTGACCGGGGTGAGCAGACAGTGGGCTCTGTGCACACTGTTGGGCCCTGCCTTCTGCAGGGTGGGCTGGTGTCTGTCCCGTCAGTGCTGACTTAGTTCCATGCTTGCTGTCTGGATGGGTGCTGGCCCCCAGCTGTAAAGCCACAACCAGTGACTCCATGGACTAGCAGGCCCAGGCTGACAGCTCGGAGGGCCCGTGTGACTGGGTCCCACCTGCCCCTGATGGAACTTTTTGTGTCCCCAGGAATGGTCTGGAACACGGACCTGGTGGAGACCCTGGAGCTGCAGAACCTGATGCTATGTGCGCTGCAGACCGTCAATGGAGCAGAGGCGGGGAAGGAGTCACGGGGCGCGCACGCCGGGGAAGACTACAAGGTGCGCCTTCTCGCCACGCCCACCTGCACCTGCCTTTTCCTCCCGCCTGGTGGGACTCAGCCCCACCCCTGCATTTTCTCTGCATTTTATGTCGTTTCCCCAAAAGTATATCCAAAAAATGCCTTTTTCCCTCTGGTAACTTTGATCCCTGGGTTCTCGCCATTTTCTGGATCACTGTGACCTGTTCCTTGCTTTGGGTCGGCATCCACTGATGCCAGCAGTGGCATCTCCAAGCCAATGTGCTTTGCTGTTAGAAGGCCAAGGTTAGAAGTGCAGCCAGCGTGGCATGACCAGGAAATAAATGCCAGTTTATTAAATAACGAGTAAGCCACCGTTTCAAGCCTGCCCTGTGGAGGAAATGCCAGTTTATTAAATAACGAGTAAGCCACCATTTCAAGCCTGCCCTGTGGAGGAAATGCCAGTTTATTAAATAACAAGTAAGTCACCGTTTCAGACCTGCCCTGTGGAGGAAATGCCAGTTTACTAAATAACGAGTAAGCCACTGTTTCCAACCTGTCCTGTGGTTTGGAAAAGGTATTATAGAGCCTGTCCTGTGGTTTGATTACGGAGCCTGCCCTGTGGTCACTTGTTCTTCAGATGAACTGATTTTTGTGCAGAGCACACGTGTTGGATTCTGCCTGGTAAGAGTTTTTCACATATGATAGCAAAAAACGACGGAAAGGGAAGCTTGGGGTGCAAATGCAAGTTCAGCATAAACCACATCAGCAAAAGGACAAAGGCTCCACAAGGCAGGCGCACAGGCTGGTTCAGGGCCATGTGTGGGCGGCTGGTGGCAGCCTTTCCAGTCAGCTGAACACAGTGAATGGGAAAATCATTTTTATTCACCATGAAATTTTACTGATTTACCCTCCACTAGAATATGCTGATGGCTGTGATCACTGCTCAGAATTTGCTCGTCTCCTCATACATATTAAGAGTCTTTCCTGCAAAGTATATGAATCCGTGTTTGCCAGAATACAGAATAATAATAAATTTATGATTTTTAATTTTTTGAGATGGAGTCTGACTGTCCCCCAGGCTAGAGTGCAGTGTTGCGATCTCAGCTCACTGCAACCTCTGCCTCCCAGGTTCAAGTGATTCTCCTGCCTCAGCCTCCCAAGCAGCTGGGGTTACAGGCGCATGCCACCGTGCCTGGCTAATTTTGTATTTTCAGTGGAGATGGGGTTTCACCATGTTGGCCGGGCTGGTCTCGAACTCCCGACCTCAAGTGAACCACCCACCTTGGCCTTCCAAAGTGCTAGGATTACAGGCATGAGCCACTGTGCCTGTCCAGGAGCATAAATTTAGTTGGTGACAACGAGTTTTAATTAGAATAGAAGCCAGATGCAGTGGCTCCCACCTGTAATCCCAGCATTTGGGAGGCTGAGGCAGGCAGATCACTTGAGCCCCGGAGTTCTAGACCAGCCTGGGCAACATGGCGAAACCTGTCTCTACAAAAATTAAAAAATTAGCCAGGCGTGGTGGTACACACCTGAGGTACCAGCTGCTCAGGAGGCTGAGGCAGGATGATTGATTGAGCCCGGGAAGTCAAGGCTCTGGCGAGCTGTGATCACACCATTACGCTCCAGCCCAGGTGACATAGCGAGACCCTGTCTCAAAAGAAAAAAAAAGTGTTTTTAATAAAAACAGGCTGAAAGAAAGGATTGAGGTAGTCTCCCAGCGCTTGGAGCAAAAAGACAAAGTATTTGATAAACTCTTAGGTACATAAAGGATGTCTAAGGGAACATGCGGACATGGATTACTCTGGACTCACTGCTGGCTGCACATTGCTGGCCAGCCATGTGGCCTCTGTGCGTTCTGAACGTGTTGATGGTGCCAACCTCCTGGGCTGAAGTGGAAATGGAATGGGTTCTAGGGCATCTGTCTCTTAGATCATTTTAACGTTTGCTGTGTTTTTTCTGTATTGCTCTGTTAGAGTAATGAGAAATGTGATGGTGTTTCTGGGCTCAGGTGCGGATTGATGAGTACGATCACTCCAAGCCCATCCAGGGGCAACAGAAGAAGCCCTTTGAGGAGCACTGGAGGAAGCACACCCTGTCCTATGTGGACGTCAGCACTGGGAAGGTCAGTGTGGAGCTCGTTCTCACCACAGCCCAGCACCCACACGGCCCCGCCCAGGTCTGCGGGCTGGCCTTGCTGATGGTGAACGCAGAGGAGCAGGCCAGATTTAAATCACCTCCCGACAGATTTGAGGCACCGCTGAAAAAGGCACTCTGACAGCAGTTGGGCTTCGGGCTGGAAACAGAATCCAGTGCCTGCAGGTGGTTCAGAGGAGCCTTAAGGAAGGGTTGCTCTGTGGTGTGGGCCAGATGGACGTCACTGGGCAGGAGCAAGTGTCCAAGGCCTGGTGGCAGGGGAAGAGATGATGATTATGGACCTAGCGAGAAAGCATCTGTGTAGTGGGGACACAGCCACTACCAGAAACCAGTCCCGAGCCAAGGGAGCCCAGAAGAGATCCCTCCCCTCTCCTCCCATGGGCTGGGCCAACTGGAAGCATCTGCAGGGGAGCAGAGGGGATGAGGTGCAGCCCTTAGCATCCCCTGGGCACTGAGCAAGCAGAGAAGGGCAGAAATGGAGGCGGGGTTGGGGTGAGCAGCGTCCTGGGAACAGCTAGCCGAGGGTGTGGTAGGGGGGTTGCAGCTTGTTCCACACAAGCACAGCGTCCTGGGAACAGCCAGCCGAGGATGTGGTAGGGGGTTGCAGCTTGTTCCACACAAGCACAGCGTCTTGGGAACAGCCAGCCGAGGGTGTGGTAGGGGGGTTGCAGCTTGTTCCACACAAGCACAGTTCACCCGTGTGGCATTTCCGCTGGGCATTGAGATTCAGAAATCATGAAGATAGAAAGCTTTTACCCTTAAGCTTTTCATAACTTGTAAGGGAGAGTCGTATAATCACTTAGCTGTGTCTGTGGAAGTTACCTTTGGACTCTCACTATCATCTAGTGTGTCTGTGATTCAGGCAGTAGGTCATTTTCAGAATTTATCATGAAGGCCATTTCCTGATAGTATAGAGAGGTCACACTTGCTTAGCACAAGTCTATTTTTAATGTTTCCGGGTTCAGGTTTTTTGTTTTGTTTTTGTTGTTCTGAGATAGAGTCTCATCTCTTTTGCCCAGGCTGAAATGTGGTGGCTCGATCTCGTCTCACTGCAGCCTCAACCTCCCCTCGGCTCAGGTGATCCTCCCACCTCAGCCTCCCGGGCACATGCCACCATGCCTGGCTAATTTTTGTATGTTTTGTAGAGACGGGGTTTTGCCACGTTGCCCAGGCTAGTCTTGAGCTCCTGAGCTCAAGTGATCCACCTGTCTTGGCCTCCCCAACAGGCATGAACCAACACGCCCAGCCAGTTTCAGTGATTTTTCAAGAAATACGTACTCATTTTAGAAAGTACAAAGAGATTGAAATAAGAGCTCACTAACCAGAGATGACCCATTATGGTTTAAATTTCTTTGTATATGTGCCTACCTTTTCCTGTGTGTGCATATTTAATACACGGCTTGAGTATTCCTTCTCTGAAATCGTTGGGACCAGAAGTGTTTTGGATTTCAGGCTTGTTCAGACTTTGGAATATTTGCATTACACTTACTGTCTGAGCATCCCTAATGGGAAGATCTGACTCCATAGCACATTTCTTTTGAATGTCATGCTGGTGCTCAGAAAGTTTCAGATTTGGGAGAATTTCAGATGTTTGGATTAGGGATGTTCTACCTATATAAATATTTACTTTGAAGTAGAAAAACTGGAAGTAGATAGTTTAAACATGAAGTGTCTTGGTATAGACAAGGGTTCTCCCACTTTTCATGATGGGAGCATTTTTGTAAAGCAAAGCACTGAGAATCTGGTACAGTGTCATTTTCGTTGCTCTGTTCCACTCTACCGATCTGCCGTCATTTACAGTCCCCTGTTGCGCATGTAGATCATTTTTGAATTTGTTATTGGAAAATACTGCAGCAAATACCTTAAAGTTTACATGCCGTAAATCTACTTTTATAGTTAAAATTTTTCAAAAGGAACACAAGAGATGGCTTTTTGTACATTTTTGTGCTTAACTTACCACTGACTTCTTTTCAAGGTCACTGTGGAATATAGACCCATAATCGACAAAACTTTGAATGAGGCTGACTGTGCCACTGTCCCCCCAGCCATTCACTCCTACTGATGAGACAAGATGCGGTGATGACAGAATCAGCTTTTGTAATTATGTATAATAGCTCATGCATGTGTCAATGTCATAACTGTCTTTATACGCTTCTGCACTCTGGGGAAGAAGGAGTACATTGAAGGGGGATTGGCACCCAGTGGCCGGGGAGCGTGGCACTTTGTCCCTTGCTTCATTCTTGTGACAAGATAAAACTGGGCACAGCTCTTAAATAAAATATAAATGAACAAACTTTCTTTTATTTCCAAATCCATTTAAAATATTTTACTGTTGTGACTTTAGTCATATTTGTTGACCTAAAAATCAAATGTAATTATCTTTGTATTCTGTTACATCAAAATCCAGATATTTTGTTGTAGTTTCTTTTTTTTTTTTTTTTTTGAGACAGGATCAGTGCAGTGGTGCAGTCTCAGCTCACTGCAGCCTCAAACTCCTGGGCAGCTCAGGTGATCTTCCCGACTCAGCCTTCTGAGCAGTTGGGGCTACAGGTGTGCACCACCACGCCCAGCTCATTTATTTTGTAATTGTAGGGACAGGGTCTCACTGTGTTGCCTAGGCTGGTCTCAAACTGCTGGGCTCAAGTGATCGTTCCTCCTTGGCCTCCCGAAGTGCTGGAATTATAGGTGTGAACCACCATGTCTGGCCTTATTGTAGTTTATTTCTAAGTTCAAATTAATGTTGGTGCTTTTCCTCCTTTTTCTTGGCAGATGGTTTGCTAGGTGAGTGTGTCCTCGATTCTTTAAATCAGGGTCCCCAGTCCCCAGGCCACAGATCGTTACCAGTCCATGGCCTGTTAGGAACCAGGCCACACAGTAGGAGGTGAGCAGCCAGCCAGTGAGCATTACTGTGTGAGCTCGGCCCCCTGCCAGAGCATTACTGTGAGCTCCGCCCCCTGCCAGAGCATTACTGTGTGAGCTCCGCCCCCTGCCAGAGCATTACTGTGAGCTCCGCCCCCTGCCAGAGCATTACTGTGTGAGCTCCGCCCCCTGCCAGAGCATTACTGTGTGAGCTCCGCCCCCTGCCAGAGCATTACTGTGTGAGCTCCGCCCCGTCAGAGCATTACTGTGTGAGCTCCGCCCCCTGTCAGAGCATTACTGTGAGCTCCACCCCCTGCCAGAGATTACTGTGTGAGCTCCACCCCATGTCAGAGCATTACTGTGTGAGCTCCGCCCCCTGCCAGAGCATTACTGTGAGCTGCACCCCCTGCCAGAGCATTACTGTGTGAGCTCCGCCCCGTCAGAGCATTACTGTGTGAGCTCCGCCCCCTGTCAGAGCATTACTGTGTGCGCTCCGCCCCCTGCCAGAGCATTACTGTGAGCTCCACCCCCTGCCAGAGCATTACTGTGTGAGCTCCGCCCCCTGTCAGAGCATTACTGTGTGAGCTCCGCCCCCTGTCAGAGCATTACTGTGTGAGCTCCGCCCCCTGTCAGAGCATTACTGTGAGCTCCGCCCCCTGTCAGAGCATTACTGTGTGAGCTCCGCCCCCTGTCAGAGCATTACTGTGTGAGCTCCGCCCCCTGCCAGAACATTACTGAGCTCCGCCCCCTGCCAGAGCATTACTGTGTGAGCTCCGTCCCCTGCCAGAGTATTACTGTGTGAGCTCCGTCCCCTGCCAGAGCATTACTGTGTGAGCTCCGCCCCCTGGCAGAGCATTACTGTGTGAGCTCCGCCCCCTGTGATCATTACTATGTGAGCTCCGCCCCGTCATATCATTACTGTGTGAGCTCCACCCCCTGTCATATCATTACTGTGTGAGCTCCGCCCCCTGTCATATCATTACTGTGTGAGCTCCTCCCCCGGCCGGAGCATTACTGTGTGAGCTCCGCCCCCTGCCAGAGCATTACTGTGAGCTCCGCCCCCTGCCAGAGCATTACTGTGTGAGCTCCACCCATTGTCAGCATTACTGTGTGAGCCCTGCCCCCATCAGATCATTACTGAGCTCCGCCCCCTGCCAGAGCATTACTGTGAGCTCCGCCCCCTGCCAGAGCATTACTGTGAGCTCTGCCCCCTGTCATCATTACTGTGTGAGCTCCGCCCCCATCATCATTACTGTGTGAGCTCCGCCCCCGTCAGAGCATTACTGTGAGCTCCGCCCCCTGCCAGAGCATTACTGTGTGAGCTCCGCCCCCCTGCCAGAGCATTACTGTGAGCTCTGCCCCCTGTCATCAATACTGTGTGAGCTCCGCCCCCGTCATCATTACTGTGTGAGCTCCGCCCCCGTCAGAGCATTACTGTGAGCTCTGCCCCCTGCCAGAGCATTACTGTGTGAGCTCCGCCCCCGTCATATCATTACTGTGTGAGCTCCGCCCCCTGTCATATCATTACTGTGTGAGCTCCGCCCCCTGTCATATCATTGCTGTGTGAGCTCCGCCCCCTGTCATATCATTGCTGTGTGAGCCTCGCCTCCTGTCAGATCAGTGGTGGCATTAGATTCTCATAGGAGTGGAATCCTGTCGTGAACTGCGCATGCGAAGGATCTAGGTTATGCCCCGCTTATGAGAATCTAATACTGATGATCTGAGATGGAACCGTTTCGTCTCCAAACCATCCCCACACTTGTCAGTGGAAAAAGTGTCTTCCGTGAAACCAGTCCCTGGTGCCAAAAAGGTTAGGGACTGCCGGTTTAAATAACCAAATGCTAAAAGAACTGGCATAGAAGTAAATGGGCTGCTGCTTTATTTTTAGGCTGTTCTTTTTAGAGAACAATGACAGTTATTTCCAAGTTTGTCATTAGAAAATAATATTAGGTTGGTGCAAAAGTAATTGCGGTTTTTGCTATTGCTTTCAATGGTAAAAGCCACGATTACTTTTGCACCAACTTAATATGATAAATTTGTTCCTTAAAGTGTATTTTTGATAAGAAAGCCCTTTTGTTTTTCCTTCTGTTAATTTTTTGTTTTTTTCTTGGTAGAGACAGAGTTTTGCCATGCTGCCCAGGCTGGAGTGCAGTGGTGTGATCTCGGCTCACTGCAGCCTCCACCTCCTGGGCTCCAGCAGTCCTCCCACCTCAACCTCCCTAAGAGCTGAGACTACAGGTGTGAGCCACCATGCCTGGCTAATTTTTAGAGACAGGGTTTCACCCTCTTGCCCAGGCTGGTCCCAAACTCCTGGGCTCAAGCAGTCCTCCTGCCTCAGCCTCCCAGAGTATTGGGATTATAGGTGTGAGCCACTGCCAGAAAAACGTTTCCTAAGACAAGGCAGGTCTTACATTATATTTAAATTTTTTTTAATGATGTCTTTTTTGGCAGTGCACAGCCAGAGAACAACACATCACACACAAGAAACAGTTGTGCTCATGTGATGGGGGCCTCAGCACTAGGAAGGAGTGGACTGTTGGCGCACGCAGCAGCTTGAATAAATCTGAAAGTCACTACGCTGCGTAAGAGAAGCCAAATAAAGCGCATGCTGTGTACAGAGGGTGTCGAGAATGCCTCCTACGTGACGGAAAGCAGATCCGTGGTTCCCTGCAGACTGGCAGGAGCAGATTCCAAAGGCACAGGAAGAAGCTTGCAGGTAGAATGTGTTCATTACCTTCTGCGCATTATACCACAAAAAAGCTGGGAATAAAAATGCTAACCAAAAAAAAAGGTGAAAGTAGATAAAATTTCTCAACTGTGTGATGGGTAAACGTGCAGGTTTGCTGTCATGCTTTGTTTATGAAGCTGTGGGGTACAAGGACTCTCATAGTCACTGTGGAATGCAGAACGTTGCAGCCTCATGGAAGAGGATTTGGCAGCATCTAACAAAATGACATGGCATTTGCCCTTAGACTCAGCAATTCTAGAATCTGCCTCAAAAAAAACTCTGGCAAAGAAATGAAAGGACTTTACCCACAGAGTTCTTTTCACAGCCTGAATGTGTTTGCCACAAAGTTCTTCACTGTGGCATTTGTAAAACTGGAAACAATCAAAATGTCCATCAGTAGGGGATTGGGAACATTAATTCGTGCAGTGGGGAACTCCGTACCAGAAGGAGGAATGAGGAACGCCTATTGATAAGGGGCAGAGTACATATCATATGATGCAAATATATATTGCTTTTTCTTAAAACAGTACAAAGATAAAAGTCTAAAGTGGTTGCTGTGGAGGATAGGGGTCAGTGGTGGAAGTGAGACCGAAATAGACTCTGAAGTAATATCTGGACTTTGAAATTGTTAAGTGTTTTACATATTACCAAACTAAGTTTTTAAGATAGTCCCTAAAATTGAAAGAATGGTATCTGAAATGAATGAATCTAAATTCCTTGGATTGCATTCTACAGGCTCCAACCGTGAGACCAAAATTTGGAAGGTGGCCCTGAGCAGCAGCTGAAGGGAAGTGGGAGGTGAGACAGGAAAGAGGCGGTGGCATGCGGCGTCCGGGAGCTGGGTCCCATGTGGGCAGCTGGGCCCGTGCTCACTGTGGGAGCTGGTGTGTTCCTTCACCAGCCCACACTCCACAGGTTTAGGATGGTCAATTCCGGGCACCCCTGGCCTGCTCCAGGACGTGCTCCTGCCACCAGAGAAAGCCCCTAGGCAGCGTCCCAGGTGCTGGTGGTGTCAGAATCGAGTTTGAGTCTGAGGAGTGACCTGGGGCTGGCTGGGCTAGGCAGCATCACGGGGTTCTGCAGCCCAACTGCACATCAGGCTGGTGACAGTCACGCAGCCTATTACCTCATGTGTCATCAGAGGATCGCTAGAACACAGCACTTCAAGTGTGCAGATTTAGTGAGCCATAGTCTAAAGACAAATAGAGCCACTGAATCCTAAATTTCAATCAATCATCTCCATTACTCGTCTTATTGGTATTAATCCTTTGAAATTATGTGGGGTGGGAGTTAAAGCTAATAACTAATTATGTTAATGCTAAAACTAAGATTTTTCTGGCAAGGGAAAATCCTCCCAAGTCCCAGCACTTTGGGAGGCCGAGGTGGGCAGATGACCTGAGGTCAGGAGTTTGAGACCAGCCTGGCCAACATGGTGAAACGCCATCTCTACTAAAATTGAAAAATTAGCTGGGCATGGTGGCAGGTGCCTGTAATCCCAGCTGTTGGGGAGGCTGAAGCAGGAGAATCGCTTGAAACAGGAGGCAGAGATTGCAGTGAGCCGAGATTGTGCCACTGCACTCCAGCCTGGGCAACAGGAACAAAACTCTATCTCAAAAAATAAAACAAGATTTTTCTGAGAAAAAGGTGTAAAACCGTATACTAAATTTGAAATAGAAATATAAGCGTGAACTCATTTGTTGTTCTTTTACCGTATACACATTTTCTACCTCTGCCCCAGTAGCAGTAGACACATCAAGCACCTAGAAAGTGGTCTCTAATACATGAAAACCATGAATTCATAGTGGTGGTTTCAAAGCCAAAACCAACCAAACACATGTAATTGGTCACTCTTGGAGGTACCTAGGGCACTAACTCCTAACACTGGGAATGGACACTTGAAGGAAGATCAGCAATTATCCTGTCTTTTCTCTACAAATTGCAATTCAGGGAAACCTTGTTGATTAGGGAAAGTTCTTTACATAAGAATTCCTGCAAATAAGTGAGTAAAGAATGACAGTTTAAGAATTGTCTCAGCCTGACCAACATAGTGAAACCCCATCTCTAAAAATACAAAAAATTAACCAGGCATGATGGTGGGTGCCTGTAATCCCAGTTACTCGAGAGGCTGAGGCAGGAGAGTTGCTTGAACCTGGGAGATGGAGGTTGCAGTGAGCCAAGAGTGCGCCACTGCACTGTAGCCTGGGCAACAAGAGCGAGACTCTGTCTCAAAAAAAAAAAAAAAAAAAAAAGAATTGTCAAATTCCCACCCCTAATGCCGTGGTTCTCTAACCTGTGTAACAGGATCACCTGGAGGGACCCTACCCCAGACCTTCCGATTCAGTCCTGGGGGGACCCTACCCTAGATCTTCCGATTCAGTCCTGGCGGGACCCCACCCGTGATCTGATTCAGTCCTGGGGGACCCCACCCCAGATCTTCCGATTCAGTCCTGGGGGGACCCTACCCCAGATCTTCCGATTTTGTCCTGTAGGGACCCTACCCCAGATCTTCCGATTCAGTCCTGGGGGACCCCACCCCAGATCTTTCTATTCAGTCCTGGGTGGACGCTACCCCAGATCTTCCGATTCAGTCCTGGGGGGACCCTACCCCAGATCTTCCGATTCAGTCCTGGGGGGACCCTACCCCAGATCTTCCGATTCAGTCCTGGGGGGATGCTACCCCAGATCTTCCGATTCAGTCCTGAGGGTCCCCACCCATGACCTTCCGATTCAGTCCTGGGGGGACCCTACCCCAGATTTCCTGATTCAGTCCTGGGGGACCCCACCCATGATCTTGCAATTGAGTCCTGGGGGGACCCCACCCCAGATCTTCCGATTCAGTCCTGGGGGGACGCTACCCCAGATCTTCTGATTCAGTCCTGAGGGTCCCCACCCATGACCTTCCGATTCAGTCCTGGGGGGACCCTACCCCAGATTTCCTGATTCAGTGCTGGGGGACCCCACCCATGATCTTGCAATTCAGTCCTGGGGGAACCCCACCCCAGATCTTCCGATTCAGTCCTGGGGGGACCCCACCCCATACCTTCCGATTCAGTCCTGGAGGGGACCCCATCCCCGATCTTCTGATTCAGTCCTGGGGGGGACCCCACCCATGATATTCTGATTCAGTCCTGGGGGACCCCACCCCAGATCTTCCGATTCAGTCCTGGAGGGACCCTACCCCAGATCTTCCTATTCAGTCCTGGTTCGGCCTGAGAATTTGCATTTCTAACATGTCCAGGGACCACAGTTTGAAAACCTCCACGGCTGACATGTAATGGGATGACATGGTCCAATAAATGAAGGAAAAATAACAGGTGGCAACCTCAGGCAGCTTCATCCCAACCAGTAAGAAAGTAAATCCTTTTGTAAACTCAGAGGAAGTATTAATATGGGCGTTTGAGCAAACATTTAAGTGTTAGGACAAATAATTAAAAACTAGCACAGGCACCCCTGAAGCATGATAGGATGGCAACAGAAGGGCTGATTTAGTTTCCAAGAAATAACTGACAGGCAATGTTGTGCGTGTGTCTACTACTTAGGAACCCAAAACAAACCTTCAGACCGTTTTCATGAGTACTGAGACCAAGAAAACCACTGGGCAGTGGGTGGTCTGGAAATGTAAATGTTGATGGTACTCCAGTAAAGAGTCATGGAACAATGCTTCATATTGAAAATGTTTTTGTAAATGTGGGTTTCAAGGTTTCAAAGTGAACCCATATGTGTTAGGAGAAAAGACACACCAAAGAAGTAAAATAATTGGGTCAATATAAAAAGTAGAATATTGCCCAGAGAGAAGATGTGGATAATTTCTAACACGGATCAAAGGCACCAAAAAGGTGAGCTGTAAGATATTCAGACCTGCACCGTCCCCTGCAGTAGACACAGACAACATCTTGGTAGGCAACTGGGTGAAAATTCAGAGACAACCCTAGGAACTATGAGGATGAAAAAAGTTAGCATTCATGGAATGAGGCACTGAAGAACCTGAAAAGCTGGAATAACCCCATGAAATAATGAGAATAATTGTAGTATCCTGAACCGGGGCACAGGACACAGGACTAGGGTGGAAGGCGGCATGAGACTACGCGCACAGGAAAGACCCAGGGATCACAGTGGCCCAAAGCTGGGCACTTCCCAATTCTGGGGATTTGTGCTACAGGCACTCCAGGCTCCACGGTAGAACTGTGTCCAGCACGAAGGCAGTGCTGTCTTGCGGGAGGCAGGGCTGCACCACCACAGGGGCGGGAAGGGGCCCGGCAGGGAGGCGCCCAGTGTTTCCAACTGCACGGGGTCGGGGGCGGCGCTGATGCAGAGCGCGGGGGCGCAGGTTAAACCTAAAGGGGGGAAGCTTTTCGGGGCAGAACAGACAACGGAGAACGCTGCACACTGCCCTTCCCACCCGAATTGTGTTTTGCCCTTTTTTTTTTTTTTGAGACGGAGTTTTGCTCTTGTTGCCCAGGCCTGGAGTGCAATGGCCTGATCTCGGCTCACCGCAACCTCCGCCTCCCGGGTTCAAGCAATTCTCCTGCCTCAGCGTCCCGAGTAGCTGGGATTACAGGCGTGCGCCACCACGCCCGGCTAATTTTGTATTTTTAGTAGATACTGGGTTTCTCCATATTGGCCAGGTTGGTCTCGAACTCCTGACTTCAGGTGATCCACCGGCCTCGGCCTCCCAAAGTGCTGGGATTACACGCGTCAGCCACCGCACCCGGCCTGCTTGCTTTTTTTTTTTTTTTTTTTTTTTTTTGCAGAGTCTCGCTGTCCACCGGGCTGGAGCTGCAGTGATCTCGGCTCCCTGCGGCCTCGACCTCCCGGGCTCAGGCGATCCTCCCGCCTCAGCCCACGGAGTACATGGGACCACAGGAGCCCACCACGCCCGACTACTTGCTGTAATTTTTGTAGGGATGGGGTCTAGCCCCGCTGCCCAGGCTGGTCCGCACTGCTGGGCTCAAGAGCTCCGCCCGCCTCCGCCCCCCAAAGCGCAGGGATCCCAGGTGTGAGCTACCGCGCCCCGCCCAGAGTTTCCGACTGTTAGCGTGAATCACATTCACGTCAAAACTTCTTTTTATACAAGAACTAAAAGGCAAACGAAATCCCTGCTCCATCACTGCCTGTCCCGGGTCGCGGCGCGGGACATTTCCTCCAAGCGCCTTCCCGGCCCCGCGCGCAGGTGGCCTGCGCCGGAGGATCTCGGACAACGCGCATTTCCTGCGCCCCCGGAAGCGGCGGTAACGCCTGGCCCTGCCCCGGCAGAGGCGGAAGTGGTGTCGCTCTGAGGTCGCCAGTCGCCGCACGCGCCTCAGCCCAGCCGCGCGCCTTGGCCCTTGGCCGCCTACTCCTACCGCCCCGGCCTTGGGCGGCCCTGGGCCTGCTGCGGGCGCGGCGCTGCCCGACCAGAGCTTCCTGTGGAACGTCTTCCAGAGCTGCCACCTGGCACCGCCCCGGCACCTCCCGCCTCCCCCGCAGCTGCCCCGGACCCGTGTCCCGACCCCCGCGGCCAACCCCGTTCCCTGCCGGTTGCCCCGCGGCCTCCCCCGTCACCTGCCGGGTCCCCAGCGGCCTCCCCCGTCCCCTGCCCCGACCTCCGCCGTCTCCACCGCCCCTGCCCGGACCCCCGCGGGCGCCCCCGAACCCTACCCCGACCGACGCGGCCGCCCCCATCCCCTGCCCCGACCCCCGCGGCCGCCCCCATCCCCTTCCGGGTCCCCCGCGGTCTCCCCCGTCCGCTGCCCGGTCTCCTGGGGCCGCCCCTGCCTCCTGCCCGGTCCCTGTCCTGTGCGTCGGGCGCTTCCCAAGGTGCAGAGGGCGCCACTGCATACCCGAGGTCGCGGCCACCGGCTCCTGGGCCAGGCCCCGTTTCTCGCCTCGAGCCGTCGGGGGAGGGTCTCCAGGGTGCTTGTTTGGGGAAAGCGGAAACAGACTGTCTGGGCCGCTGTTAAAATGTCAGCAGCCAAGGAAGAAGCAGCGACCTGGCGTCTGCTCGGGCCAGGTGACCTTTATGGCGGCGCCTTCTGTCCCTGGTCGCTTTTCCACTGAATGAATGACCGAAACTGTAGTAACTCATGGCCAGGGAATGGCTTAGTTATCTGAGGGAATCTTGTCTTGTCTGTGAAAAAGGGAAACTGGTGCAAATGGGAATTCAGACAGGTCAGGAGGGGAAGGAAGGGAAGGATTGAGGTGGGAAAAGAGAGAGAAAGATGATTGGCCTCTTAGGGGAAGAACACACTTGGACGTGGCTCCTGGGGCACTTCCTTGATTCCGCTGTACTCGTCAGCGGGACCGGAGAGGCGGAGGTTCCAGGAGGGAGCCTTCCAGAGTCGGTGCAGGGTTGACAGGAGACGTTTGTTTTGCTTTTCCTGAACTTTCGATCGCCAGCTTGTTTGGTCTTCTTGATGTTATAGGGTTGATAGAGAGGAGTGGAGTGATATCGGACACCCAGCTTCGGCAAGCTCTCTCCAAGGGTGAGTGGGCCAGTGGGACCTGGGTCTCCGGACCAAGAAGCCGCGAGCCTGCCCTGCTCACAGTGGATAACTTTCTTTCTGAAGTTGATTTTCCAAGGACAAAGGAATCATTAGGGCAAATTATTATTACTGCTTCATGGTGGAGATGCTTCTGGTTTATTCTGTGGCTACCGCTGTTACTGCTTGGAGTGCCTCACCGAGCCAGCTAACAACGGCGTGCGTGAGCACAGGGAAAGGCTTCTTGAGAAATGAAAACTAGGTTGTAGGTTTAGGAGGGGAATAGGAAGGTTAGCTCTGTCCAGCCGAAAGCCTTTTGGTAAGTTGGGGGTCCTTGAATTTCCTGGGTGACTGCATCTTGGTGACTTCTCTGAATAGACCTTCGAGGGCACTGGGGGGTGATTGTTGGAGGGCTTGGGGAGCTCAGGCAGCACTTGTGTGGGAACGTGGCTGTTACAGGAACTGCAGAAACTGGGACTGGGTTCCTGGGGAAAGGATTGGGGGTGTTGGAGGCGCTGGCAGGGGAGTTATGGGGAGGCGTTCTTATCAGTGTGCGAATAGTGGGCGTTCAGGCAGCGGGAAATCCGGGTCCTTGCGTGTTGTGAGCTCCCTGGAGTTACGTTCTTGCCAGTTTCAGCTCAATTGATCCCCCTCCCCTGAGCTATCATTGGATACATTTTACTTCATTGAACACCTGACTGCTGCTTTTTCTGTAATCCCTCAGGGGCAGTCATCTTTTCTGATTCTGAGTATAGTTTGCCTTTCCAGATCCGTGCCATTTAAGCTAGAAAAGGGGTCAGTTTTGAGATGTGAAAATGTTGAAAGGCTCCTCGTTATTAGTGGGAAGTATCTGATGTTGCCAGAGACTGAACTGGGGCGCGGGGAGCACTACGGCTGCTAGACACTGCCTCACTGCGCTGTGGGTGGGGGAGGTGCTGGATTCAGTCTTACTGCCTAATGATTTGTGAGGATTTGTGTTTTCAGAGTAACATGTTTACCTTATGTTATCAGTTCCTAATATGTGACGTATGGGCCACAGATGCTGGTGTATTATTTCACATGCATTTATATAGATTGTTTTCAGGGAATTCAGAAATTCTGTTATCTCTACACTAGTGATTGTGCTTTCTTGATTTTTCTCTTTTCATTATTCTTAAATCCTCCTTTTTTTTATTTGCATCTCAGTTCGTTTATACTCGGGAAGTGCAAGACATGGCTACTAGAAAGAGATGTCAAGAGAACCGGAATCCAGTAGGCTACAATTTGGCAAATCTTAGCTTAAAACTTCCTAAATGTTGACCACAGTGGATGCAAATGGCTCTGTGCATCGTCTGTTCAATATGGTCAGGTGACCACCCAGGTTCACGTGGTTTGTCACCAGGGTGATACGAGCCACATGGAGTGCCCTCCTCAGAGGCCATGTCTCAGAGATGTGTATTTTGAGTGGTTTTCCAGCAAGTGATGCAAGATTTATGATCCATTTTAAGAGCCTGCTTTTTATGCATTTGCTCAAATTTTTAGATTTTAAGTTTAGTTTTAGGTTTTCTGTTAAACTTGCTCAACTAGGAGTGGTGGTCAAATACTGGACCTCATTAGCATGGTAGCCTGCACACCTTGGCAGGCTCCACTGGAGTGCTTTGGGGCCTGCCTGGATTCCAGTCCTGGCTCTACCAGTTTTGTGTCCTCGCCATTACTGGGAGGGAGAATTGAGGAAATGCATGTGAGGTGCTTCCCGTGATTCCTGGCACGGAGCAAGTGCTCAGTAATTGTCAGCTGTGAGTATTAGTAGTAGCTAATACACTACTACTATTCTTGGCTAACAAGCCAGCTCAAAGCTTTGATGGTTTTCCATTACCTGATGATGGTGATGATGGTTTCCACTTCCTGAACACTCACACCCCTGGGCTAGGCACTTAACCCAAATCCAAGGTCAGCGTTATTGTTTGGGGGTGGGGGAGACACCTCCTGCTCTGACTCGTGTGTTTGGGTTCCCGTATTTTCACCAGAGGGTGTTAGTCCTGCCCAAGTTCAGCTGGTCCTCAAAGCGTATATAGCTCTTTAACCCTCAGCAAGTGTCAGTCAGAACATAATCTTGATTTCAGCTGCTACTAAATATCTACCAGGAGCCTGCTTGAGAGAGAGAATTGCCTGACAGGTGCTGAGTCCACCATTCCTGAGATACTTTGAAATCAGTGTCTGGCTTAACCCAAGCTGTGTATGGGGACCCTCTCACCGTGGTCCCAATGGAGTCGCTTTTGTTAGGCGCCCCCCTTTACCTTGGGCTCTGAGCTTCCTCTGCCTTTCATCTCTGCAGGATGAAGCCCCACCCGCCGTACAGGATGCAAAGCCCTCCTCTATAAAGTGCATGCGGGGCCAGATGCAGTGGCTCACGTCTGACCTCCCAACACCTTGGGAGGCCGAGGCAGGGGGATCGTTTGAGACCAGCCTGGGCAACATTGTGAGACCCTGTTCCTTGAATTGCCCTGGGAGATTTCCTCAGCTTGTGTTGGAGGCATGTGGCCCCATGAAGCCCGTAGTCACCGTTTACCCTGAGAGACGCTGGCTTTGGGGCTGACACACCTGCTGCGGGGCAGCCCCAGGAGATGGCCACCCTGTTTCTCCTGGAGCTGGAGCTGCGCGTGTTCTCAGCAACTGTGGTGGCTGTCCTGTTTTGTTTGCATCTTATAAACCTTTACCTGATTACATTTTCCTCTTCAGTTTAGCTGCTAGAGAACTTAAAGTCAGATTGGTGGCTCGCCAGTAATGAGAGTTTAGAGTAGAGGTAAACTTTATGACATAGTCTTAGACTCTTCCGTTTCTCCTCAGCCAACATGATTCACATTTACTTTATTTTGCTGTACTGTGAGTGTCTTTGTGTTTCCTGAATTCCTTCTGGAATAAGGCAGGCTGGTAGTAAGCACAGGTTTCTGGTCCATCTCATAGCCTCAGGCAGTGGGTGGTGCTGTCCATGCTCCCTTTCTGGGTTACCTGTGGTAGCTCTGAAGTTGCAGGGCTGCGATTTGAAGCCTGATTTAGTACACCGTGTTTCTGTCATGTTCTGTGGTGGTTTGCTCCTGACATGTGACCATTCACCCTGTGGCCCTGTGTTTTTCCACCACACCTCTGCCTGGTGGCATCCTACTGGATGTCTCAGCCGAGCCACTCTGTTCTGAAGATGCCCTTGTCCTCCACCCCTTTGCTTTGGGCTCTGAGCTTCTGCCTTTCATCTCTGTAGGATGAAGCCCCACCCGCCCTTCAGGATGCCAGCCTTGGCAACATTGTGAGACCCTGTTTCTACAAAAAGTAAACGTGTAGTGGTGCACGCCTGTAGTTCCAGCTACTTGGGAGGCTGAGATGGGAAGATCACTTCAGCCTGGGAGGTTGAGGCTGCATTGAGCTGAGATCAAGCCACGGCACTCCAGCCTGGGAGACAGAGCGAAACCCCATCTCAAAAAAACAAAGAAAGTGGATGCGCGCTGCTCCTGCCATTGGATCATCGCAGCATTTTTCTTTTCTCTGATATGCGCCTTTTTCCTCACCGTGGGGGCTCATGTTTTCGTAGTTTCTTCTCGCTACTAGATTGTGAGCTGCGTGAAGGAAGGTTCATAGTTGTGTTGTATGTACAGGCACACAAAATTTGTCCTTGGATAGACACATATCAGTCCGCTTCCTTCTCCTCTCTGAATTTCTTTATTTAAAAAAAAGAATTAGAGATGGAGTCTCACTGTCTTGCCCAGGCTGGTCTCAAACTCCTAGGCTCAAGCGATCCTCCCGCCTCTACTAATATGAATTATTAGCCTATACTAATATGAATTCCTATACTAATATGATTGAAATTAGTTTGACTTGTATAATAATTGTTCTCCCAGATTGGGCTTCTGTTTTGATAGTAGAACTAAATTATTAGGCTATTTCAAGAAATTAATATATTACTGGTAGAAAAACTGAAGCTACAAAATGGCCTGGTTTCTCACTTCAGTTAAATTTGTGCTTCTGAGTGCTTGTATTGTAGGTGAAACCGCACTGAGAAGGTATTTGTGGCCCGTACGCTGGTTCATTGATGAGACTTCTTTGCACAGGAGAGCCGCTAAAAATTACTGTGGTGAACAGGTATGAAGAAGACTGTTCTCTGCCCTTCTTTTTGCAATAAAATGTTACAAACTATCTTGAGTTTGATCCCTTTTCGGGTGTTTGGGTTTTTTTAACATTCACATATTTATTGGAATTATAAGAAATTAACTTTGTGCTTCTGAAGTGGGTTTGCCTTAATATAACACTGTTGTATTTGTAAGGGGCATTTTTAAAGTTGTACTTTAAAAAATAATAATTCTTAGATTCGTTTGAAGGTTTTTTGTTTGTTTGTTTGTTTGTTTTTGAGATGGAGGCTCGCCCTGTCACCCAGGCTGGAGTGCAATGGCATTGATCTTGGCTCACTGCAACCTCTGCATCTGGAGTTCAAGCGATTCTCCTGCCTCAGCCTCCTGAGTAGCTGGCACTACAGGCACCTGCCACCACGCCCAGCTAATTTTTTGTATTTTTAATAGAGATGGGGTTTCACTGTGTTAGCCAGGATGGTCTCAATCTCCTGACCTCATGATCCGCCCACCTCGGCCTCCCAAAGTGCTGGGATTACAGGCGTGAGCCAGGGGGCCAACATGGTGAAACTCTATCTCTACTAAAAATACAAAATTAGCCGGGAATGGTGTTGTGCGCCTGTAATCCCAGCTACTCGGGAGGCTGAGGCGTGAGAATCACTTGAACCTGGGAGGCAGAGGTTGCAGTGAGCTGAGATAGCGCCACTGCACTCCAGCCTGGGGGACAGTGAGACTCCATCTCAAAAAAAAAAACACAAAAAAAGAATAGAATAACTCTTGTTTAGGTGTTACAAAATCCAGGCCAGACCAATCTAAACTTTAATCTCATACCCAGTTCCTAGATGAGTCCCTTCTCCAGCTCAGGTTCCGCCTAAGCCTCAGGGTTCCTTACTTGGTGGGCACCACCTGCTCCCTTCCCCGCCTTTGTCCTCTTTTTCCTCTGCTGGCTCCTCCGGGGTTGGGTGTGTTCAGAGGCAGAGACAGGCTAAAGGTCTTTGTCCTTTAGGTTCTGTTGATGGGTGAGTTCCAGATATAGCTTTCTCTTGTAGGATATTTCATTTTTTTATCTATTAAAAATATTTATTTAGAACACACCATTCATGTGCCAGACCCTGTTCCAGGAACTGGGGAGAGGGTGATAAATGAGATCAACAAAAATACCTGCCCACATTAAGCTCCTGTTCTAGGGAAGACAAAAAAGAAAGAAAATACACGTGTCCTTAGTACATTAGAAGGTTCCAAGTACTGTAGAGAAAAATAAAGTAGGTTGGACTCGGTGGCTCATGCCTGTAATCCCAGCACTTTGCGAGGCTGAGGTGGGAGGATTACTTGAGCTCAGGAATTTGAGACCAGCCTGGGCAACATGGCAAATCCTGTCTCTACCAAAAAAAAAAAAAATTAGCTGGGTATGGTGGCGTGCACCTGTAGTCCCAGCCACTGGGGAGGCTGAGGAGGGAGAATTGCTTCAGCCCAGGAGGTGAAGGTTGCAGTAAGCTGAGATCGTGCCATTGCACTCCAGCCTGAGTGACACAGCCAGACCCTGTCTCAAAAACAAGGAAAGAAAGAAAATGAAAAAAAGAAAGCAGAGATGGGGCAAGCAGGGGAGAGGGTTGGTGCTGGGGTCACAGTGGAGGGGCTGGGGATGCACGGGAGGGGCTGGGGATGTGAGCTTTCCTGAGCTCCCACAGTTCTCTGCCCCTCTCCTGTCTCATGGCGCAAGGGCCCCCTGGGGCTTGCGGTGGTTTTGCGCCAAGCTAATATCTTGTTCTTCCCAACAGACGGAGGCCCATTGAGGCTTCTCTGTCCTCCACGGGGACCAGCATTGGGCTAAACCTGCAGACACCATTGCAAAGGGAATTCAGGCAAACCCGGTGGTGAAGAATGATTCCAGCGCGAGGACAGAGGCTGACATTTCTTGCCTGGGTGATTTAATGTTGCGCATCAATTTTTCACTCCCCCCGTAAGAGTATGACATAGCCACAACCTTGCCAGGGCCCGAGGGAGGGTGGATGGACTTATCCATCCCATAGGTGTTGCTCGTGGCTGGGTGACTTGCTTCTGCCAATGAGATTTTCACAGACACGGTACAAGCAGAAGCCTGGAATCTGTGGGCACTGCCAGGCCTGCCCTCTAAGGCTCTTGATTTTCCCCACGAGATGTGCGTGCTCCAGGGAACGGCGGCTCTGGCTGTGGGATGAGAGGCGTGTGGAGCAGGCATGGTTCCCATCCTTAGCCTGGAGTCAAGGCCAGACTAGATCAGCCTAAGCCCAGCCATGCCACAGGTGCAGTAGTGAAGAGCAAATGCTAACTGTCCATGGAATTGACTTTCAAAGGGGCGTGTCATGTGCCTCATCCCAGCAACAGGGAAGGCATTTCTCTATCAGTCAGTTGGTAAATGATTATTGACAAACAATGTGCTGGGAAGGTGGAGTGATTTGAGTAGATTTGGCCTCTATTCTCATGGAGCTTCCTTTCTAGAGGGGAAGACACATGATGGATGGATAAATATAAATGATTCTAATAGGTTGGTGCAGCAGTCATTAAAAGTAATGGCAAAAAAAAAAAAAAAAAAGAAACGGGGAGGAGCCATTGCTGCCGTTCATTAATAGTAATGGCAAAACCCGCGATGACTTGTGCGCCAACCTAACCCAGTAACCAGGGGTGTGCAAATGTGGCGATGGGCAAGTTCCGAGTGCTAGGAGAGCATCTAGCTTCCCGGAGTCAGGAGACGGGGGTTGGCAACCTAACCAAGGTTAAGTCCAAGTGAGGGGGGTGGGCAGGGAGCGATATTTCAGTGGAGACTCCAAGGATGAATGGTATTTAGAGAGTAAACCCCGATAGAGAGGGTGTGTGTCTGGCACAGAGAAGAGCCTGTGCAAAAGCTGGTGGGGCGAGAGGACACCGTGTGTTCATCCACCTGAGGGGCGACCAGCAGGCTGGAGCTCAGCGGGTTGAGAGGAGGATGCAGAGCCCGGGAAAGGCACCCTAGGCAGAGGGCACAGAAGTGCAAAGGCCTGGAGTCAGGCCTGAGCCTGTGTGGTTTGAGGAACGGACAGAGGCCTGTCCGTCAGGAAGGGAATGGCACAGGGGAGAGACCTTAGGCCACAGCAGAGGGCAGGGCAGAGGGCAGGGCCGTGCTGGGCACTGTGGGCTGTGGATGGTGCTGGCATTTAAGAGGGGAGACCATAGACCAGGGCAGAGGGCAGGGCCGTGCTGGGCACTTTGGGCTGTGGATGGGAGCTGGCATTTATGCTCAGGTGATGGGAATGTGTTAAAAGATTTTAAGGAGGGGAGTAACAGTTGGGATTAATGTGTATTCTGGGAATCTCAACAAAGTAAATTCATAGTTTGAATTTTCATAAGACTTCTGCACAGGCAGAGAGAAATAAGATCGTGTCTACAGCTGTGTGATGATTTTATTGAAAAACTACTAAGTTTTTAAACGTGATTTCAAATGGTGTGTTTCTGTTTCACATTGGACATAAGTAGATTGCAAGGCTAATGGAAAGTAGAAAAGTTAACTCATGAACATAAAAGAGGTATCGATTTGAAAACAAAACATTTATTCATTTACTTCCGCTGCAGATTTCTTGACTGCTGAATTTCATGAGAAGGGATTGTTCAGGGAGGGACGTGGGGCTGAAGACCTGGAGAGGAGGTGGTGCTACCGCTGTTCAAATCTGAGGGTGGTGGAGATGGAGCCTTGGGGAGGAGCAGGTGCTGCCTTTTAAGTCTATGAGATTCGTTGAGCTGGAGGTCCAGGGAGGAGCCGGTGCTCCCACTGATGTCTTAGGTTGTGGAGCTGAAGACAATGAAGGAGCCAGTGTGGCTGTTCTGTGAGACTCGTGGAGCTGGAGATCCAGGTGGGAGAGGTGTTTTAGCTCGGGGAAGAGCTGATATTCTACCTTGAGGGTCCTGCAGCTGCAGATCCGGGGAGGAGCTGATGTTCTAGTTTGAGTGTCATGCAGCTGCAGACCCGGAGAGGAGCTGATGTTGTAGTTTGAGTGTCATGCAGCTGCAGACCTGGAGAGGAGCTGATGTTCTAGATTGAGGGTCGTGCAGCTGCAGACCTGGAGAGGAGCTGATGTTCTAGATTGAGGGTCGTGCACCTGCAGACCCGGGGAGGAGCTGATGTTCTAGTTTGAGGGTCTCCCAGCTGCAGACCTGGAGAGGAGCTGATGTTCTAGATTGAGGGTCATGCAGCTGCAGACCCGGAGAGGAGCTGATGTTCTAGATTGAGGGTCATGCAGCTGCAGACCCGGAGAGGTGCTGATGTTCTAGATTGAGGGTCATGCAGCTGCAGACCCGGAGAGGAGCTGATGTTCTAGATTGAGGGTCGTGCACCTGCAGACTCGGGGAGGAGCTGATGTTCTAGATTGAGTGTCATGCAGCTGCAGACCCGGAGAGGAGCTGATGTTCTAGATTGAGGTTCGTGCACCTGCAGACCCGGGGAGGAGCTGATGTTCTAGTTTGAGGGTCTCCCAGGTGCAGACCTGGAGAGGAGCTGATGTTCTAGATTGAGGGTCATGCAGCTGCAGACCCGGAGAGGAGCTGATGTTCTAGATTGAGGGTCTCCCAGCTGCAGACCCGGAGAGGAGCTGATGTTCTAGATTGAGGGTCTTGCACCTGCAGACCCGGGGAGGAGCTGATGTTCTAGTTTGAGGGTCGTGCAGCTGAAGACCTGTAGAGGAGCTGATGTTCTAGTTTGAGGGTCTTGCAGCTGAAGACTTGGGGAGGAGCTGATGTTGTTCGCGTTGAGGGTCTTTCAGTTGGAGACTCAGGGAGGAGCTGATGTTCTAGAATTAGGGTCATAGAACTGGAGCCCTGGAGAGAAGGTAATGTTCTAGTTTTAGGTTCTTGCAGCTGCAGACCCGGAGAGGAGCTGATGTTCTAGATTGAGGGTCATGCAGCTGAAGACTCGGGGAGGAGCTGATGTTCTAGTTTGAGGATCTTGCAGCTGCAGACCTGTAGAGGAGCTGATGTTCTAGATTGAGGGTCGTGCAGCTGAAGACTTGGGGAGGAGCTTTAGTTGTTCGCATTGAGGGTCTTTCAGTTGGAGACTCAGGGAGGAGCTGATGTTCTAGATTTAGGGTCACGGAACTGGAGACCTGGACAGAAGTTGATGTTCTAGTTTGAGTGTCTAGCAGCTGCAGATCCGGAGAGGAGCTGATGTTCTCATTTGAGGGTCTTGCAACTGCAGACCTGTAGAGGAGCTGATGTTCTAGATTGAGGGTCGTGCAGCTGCAGACCTGTAGAGGAGCTGATGTTCTAGATTGAGGGTCCTGCAGCTGAAGACTCGGGGTGGAGCTGATGTTGTAGTTGGAGGGTCATGCAGTTGAGGACTTCGGGAGGAGCTGATGTTGTTCGCGTTGAGGGTCTTTCAGCTGGAGACTCAGGGAGGAGCTGACAATCTTGATTGAGGTTCACGGAGCTGGAGACCCGGACAGGAGCTGATGTTCTAGCTAGTGGATCTTCCAGCTGCAGACCCAGAGAGGAGCTGATGTTCTAATTTTAGGTTCTTGCAGCTGCAGACCTGGAGAGGAGCTGATGTTCTAGATAGAGGGTCATGCAGCTGAAGACTCGGGGAGGAGCTGATGTTGTAGTTTGAGGGTCATGCAGTTGAGGACTTCAGGAGGAGCTGATGTTGTTCGCGTTGAGGGTCTTTCAGCTGGGGACTCAGGGAGGAGCTGATAATCTTGATTGAGGGTCATGGAGCTGGAGACCCAGACAGGATTTGATGTTCTAGTTAGTGGATCTTCCAGCTGCAGACCCAGGGAGGAGCTGATGTTCTAGTTTGAGGGTCGTGCAGCTGAAGACCCGGGGAGGAGCTGATGTTCTAGATTGAGGGTCGTGGAGCTGCAGACCCGGAGAGGAGCTGATGTTCTAGTTTGAGGGTCATGCAGCTGGAGACCTGGAGAGGAGCTGATGTTCTAGTTTGAGGTTCTTGTAGCTGCAGACCTGGAGAGGAGCTGATGTTCTAGATTGAGAGTCGTGCAGCTGTACACCTGGAGAGGAGCCAATGTTCTAGATTGAGACTCGTGCAGCTGCACACTTGGAGAGGAGCTGATGTTCTAGATTGATGGTCTTGCAGCTGCAGACCTGGAGAGGAGCTGATGTTCTAGTTTGAGGATCTTGGAGCTGCAGAGCCGGAGAGGAGCTGATGTTCTACTTTGAGGGTCATGCAGCTGGAGACGTGGAGAGGAGCTGATGTTCTAGTTTGAGGGTCATGCAGGTGAAGACTCGGTGAGGAGCTGATGTTCTACATGGAGGGTCTTGCAGCTGCAGAACTGTAGGAGAACTGATGTTCTAGTTTGAGGGTCTTGCAGCTGCAGACCTGGAGAGGAGCTGATGTTCTAGTTTGAGGGTCTTGCAGCTGCAAACCTGGAGAGGAGCTGATGTTCTAGATTGAGGGTCATGCAGCTGAAGACTCGGGGAGGAGCTGATGTTCTAGATTAAGGGTCATGCAGCTGAAGACTCAGGGAGGAGCTGAGGTTCTAGTTTGAGGGTCATGCAGCTGAAGACTCGGGAGGAGCTGAGATTCTAGTTTGAGGGTCATGCAGCAGAAGGCTCAGGGAGGAGCTGATGTTCTAGATTGAGGGCCCTACAGCTGCACACCTGAAGAGGAGTTGATGTTCGAGATTGAGGGTCGTGCAGCTGAATACTCAGAGAGGAGCTGATGTTATAGTTTGAGGGCCCTACAGCTGAAGACCCGGAGAGTATCTGATCTTCGAGATTGAGGGTCGTGCAGCTGAAGACTCCAGGAGGAGCTAAGGTGGTAATTTGAGGGTCTTGCAGCTGCTGACTTGGGGAGGAGCTGATGTTCTAGTTTGAGGGCCCTACAGTTGGAAATCTGTACAGGAGCTGATGTTCTAGTTTGAGGGTCGTGCAGGTGAAGACTCGGGGAGGAGCTGATATTCTAGTTTGAGGGCCGTGCAGCTAGAGATGCAGACAGGAGCTGATGTTGTAGTTTGAGGGTCGTACAGCTGAAGATTCAGGGAGGAGCTGCTGATGTATTTTTAGGGTCATGGAGCTGCAGACCCGGAGAGGAGCTGATGTTAAAGATTGAGGGTCATGCAGCTGAAGACTCTGGGAGGAGCTGACGTTCTAATTTGAGTTCCCTACAGGTGGACACCCAGAGAGGAGCTTATGTTCTAGATGAGGGTCATACAGCAGAAGACTCGGGGAAGAGCTGAGGTTGTAGTTTGAGGGTCGTGCAGCTGGAGAACCAGACAGGAGCTGATGTTGTAGATTGAGCGTCGTGCAGCTGAAGACTCGGGGAGGAGCTGATGTTGTTTGTTTTGAGGGTCTTTCAGCTGGAGACTCAGGGAGGAGCTGACGTTCTAGATTGAGGGTCTTGCAGCTGCAGACCCGGAGAGGAACTGATGTTCTAGATTGAGGGTCACGCAGCTGAAGACTTGGGGAGAAGCTGATGTTCTAACTTGAGGGTCGTGCAGCTGAGGACTCGGGGAGGAGCTGATGTTGACGGCTGTGCAGGTGGAGATCCGGCGGGGAGCTGATGTTCTGGTTTGAGGGCCGGGGAGCTGATGTTCCAGTTTGATGGCCGTGCACCTGGAGACCCAGGGAGGAACATCAAACTGGAACATCTGCTCCCCGCAGTGCCTCCAGCTGCATGGCTCCCAAACTGGAACATTGGTTCCCACCCGGGTCTCCAGCTGCACGGCCCTCAAACTGCAACATCGGCTACCCCCGAGTCTCCAGCTGCGCGGCCCTCAAACTGGAACATCAGCTCCCCACCGGGTCTCCAGCTTCACGGCCCTCAAACTGGAACTTCAGCTCCCCACCGGGTCTCCAGCTTCACGGCCCTCAAACTGGAACTTCAGCTCCCCACCGGGTATCCAGCTGCACGGCCCTCAGACTGGAACTTCAGCTCCCCACCGGGTATCCAGCGGCACGGCCCTCAGACTGGAACATCAGCTCCCCGCCGGGTCTCCAGCTGCACGGCCCTCAAACTGGAACTTCAGCTCCCCACCGGGTCTCCAGCTTCACGGCCCTCAAACTGGAACTTCAGCTCCCCACCGGGTATCCAGCTGCATGGCCCTCAGACTGGAACTTCAGCTCCCCACCAGGTCTCCAGCTGCACGGCCCTCAGACTGGAACATCAGCTCCCCGCCGGGTCTCCAGCTGCACGGCCCTCAAACTGGAATAGTTTGAACCCAGTGGGGATCTGATGTTCCAGTTTGAGGGCTGTGCAGCTGGAGACCCGGCAGGGAGCTGATGTTCCGGTTGTAGGGCTGTGCAGCTGGAGACCCGGGGGGAAGCTGATGGTCCAGTTGTAGGGCCGTGCTGCTGGAGACCCAAGGGTGGAGCTGATGTTCCAGTTTGAGGGCCGTGCAGTTGATGACCCGGCGGGGAGCTGATGTCCAAGTTTGAGGTCTGTGCAGCTGGAGACCCGCGGGGGAGCTGATGTTCCAGTTTGATGGCCATGCAGCTGGAGACTCTGATGGGAGCTGATGTTGCAATTTGAGGGCCATGCAGCTGGAGACCTGGCGGGGAGGTGATGTTCCAGTTTGAGGGCCATGCAGCTGGTGACCTGGCAGGGAGCTGATGTTCCAGTTTGAGGCCCGTGCTCCTGGAGACCTAGCGGGGAGCTGATGTTCCAATTTGAGGGCCGTGCACCTGGAGACCTGGCGGGGAGCTGATGTTCCAGTTTGAGGGCTGTGCAGCTGGATACCCAGCAGGGAGCTGATGTTGCAGTTTGAGGGCCGTGCACCTGGAGACCCGGCGGGAAGCTGATGTTCCAGTTTGAGGGCCGTGCAGCTGGAGACCTGGCGGGGAACTGATGTTCCAGTTTGAGGGCCGTGCATCTGGAGACCTGGGCGGGGAGCTAATGTTCCAGTTTAAGGCCATGCAGCTGTATACCCGGTGGGGAGTTGATGTTCCAGTTTGAGGGCCGTGCATCTGGAGACCCGGTGAGGAGCCAGTGTTGCAGTTTGAGGGCCGTGGAGCTGGAGACCCGGCGGGGAGCTGATGTTCCAGGTTGACGCGGTGTAGCTGGAGACCCGGGGGGAACTGATGTTGCAGTTTGAGGGCCGTGCATCTGGAGACCTGGTGGGGAGCCAGTGTTGCAGGTTGAGGACCGTGCAGCTGGAGACCCTGTGGGGAGCTGATGTTCCTGTTTGAGAGCCGTGCAGCTGGAGACCCTGTGGGGAGCAGATGTTCCTGTTTGAGAGCCGTGCAGCTGGAGACCCGGTGGGGAGCTGATGTTGCAAGTTGAGGGCTGTGCACCTGGAGCCCCGGGGTGGAGCTGATATTCCAGTTTGAGGGTCGTGCAGCTGGCGATCTGGTGGGGAGCTGATGTTCCAGTTTGAGGGCCATGCAGCTGGGGACCCGGCAGGGAGCTCATGTTCCAGTTTGCAGGCAGTGCACCTGGAGACCCGGCGGGGAGCTGATGTTCCAGTTTGAGGTCCGTGCAGCTGGAGATCTGGTGGGGGAGCTGATGTTCCAGTTTGAGGGCCCTGCAGCTGGAGACCCATGGGGATCTGATGTTCCAGTTTGAGGGTGGTGCTGCTGGCGACCCAGGCGGGAGCTGATGTTCTAGTTTTAGGGACCTACAGCTGGAGACCCGGGGAGGAGCTGATGTTCCCTTTCGAGGGCTGTGCAGGTGGAGACCTGGGGAGGAACTGATGTTGTTCTAATTTGAGTGTGGTGCAGCTGGAGATCCAGGGATGAGATGGCCCTGCGGTTCAAATATGAGGGTCCCGGAGCTGGACTCTACGTGAGGAACCAATGCTGCCTCTGATGTCTTAGGTTGTGGAGCTGGAAACTCGCGGAGGAGCTGGTATTGGTGTTTCTAGTTGAGGGTTGTGGTATTTCCAGGGTTTCACAAAGGCCAGATTTTATTTCAGTTACTCAGAAGAGAAAGAAAATGTCTTCTGAAAGAGGTGAATTCAATCATTACCAATAGAAAAAGTATCCACTGTATTTATCTCTTATACCAACAGAAAAATATAACATTTTCCCCCTTAGAATAATATATACATATATATAAAACTTAAGGTTCTATTGTATGTAGCCGAACAATACAATCTGGAAACCAGCATGAAACTCTATTATTCACATGTTAAAATGTTGAAACTATGACCAAAATATGAAAACTGCTAGAGCTATCAGAAAGACACAAGACAAAAAGCTTCTTGCATATGTATAAACTAAATGTGATAATCTCAAAAAACTGTTCAAAATTATAATTACTTTCCAGTTTAAAGACTTCAGTCCTAAATTAAAAAAAAAACTTCTATATACAAACCACTGATTTGCCCAGACCAAAAAAAGAAAGAAAGAAAGAAAGAGAAATCAGCGGTAAGGTAAGCAGGACCCAGAGGAGCTGATATTCACAGTTCTTACATGGACAACTCTTTCAGGAATTATCCATAAAGTACTTTATTTTACAACCTGCTTTTCTTGTAAAACTAAAGGTGCACGTTTTTACATAAAAGTTTTACACAGTGTTAAAACCAGAACTGTGTGTAAAATACTGCATGTATATGTTTCTAAATAGTCTTGTTCCAGTGGTTCATCGGTGACTTCTGTGGCTTCGTCATCATTTTCCATGGATGATTCTGAAAGAATCTCTCCAGTTTTACTGGAATTGGATCCTACTAATTCTTCTGTTTCACGGCAGTCAGAAGAACCACTACTTTCAGGGCCTTCGTTTTCACTACCTTCAGAATGTAGTAAATCTTTCTCAGCTTGAGACACATCAGATTCCTCCATTTCATTATTTTCCTCAGAAGTCTCTTCATTCACAGTTGAGGCATCATCAGATTCTTTTTCTTGTTTATTTCTTTCTGGGATCATTTCTCTTGATGTCATAAAAGACTCTAAAACTAAGCAAATGTTGTTGTACTTAAATTTTGTTTTCAAAATACCTCCACAGTTAAGTTTCATGAATTCTGATGCTCTGTAGTTCAAATCACATCCCCTGAAATTCAGCAGCAACTGCATACAGGTGGGAGAAAAGCCCAGCGTCGGCATTACAAGGAGTTCCATGACGTACAGTTCTTTCACGAAAACAATGAATGCAAGAATTTGAGGATCTCCTTACTCCTCCCTTTTACAGATGGTCTCTCAGTCCCTTCTTCTTCCTCTTCATCTTCTTCATCCTCTTCTGAACACGCTGCCGGGTACCACAGCTTTCTTTGTCTTTATCATGAGATGAAGGTGATGCTTCTGTTTCTTCTACCATAACTGAAGAAATTTCGCTGCAAGTCTCTTGACTGGCTGTTTCTCCGACTTCGCCTTTTTGTCAAACCTGAGTCTTTTTACCTCATACCCCTCAGCTTCCACAGCATCTTCATCTGGATGTTTATTTCTCAAAGGGCTCACTGAGGAAACTTCTGATTCAGATGTCGAAGAGTCACTGTGAGTTTTCTCTTCATTTTGCTGCAAATTTGCCTCTTTGCTGTCTGTGCTCTCAGGCCACCCATTTGTTGTCATGGGGCTGACAGAGAAACCTTTGGTCGATTACGTGGCCTGGGTGTCCCAGGCCCATTTATATTAGACCTCTCAGTATAGCTTGGTGCATTTCCAGGAAACATCACACCATTCATTCGATTTAAACTATTGGAATTGTTTTTCTCTGAAGAAGGATAAACACAGCTAACAACCATCACGTTCTTTTCTACTCCTCTGAGAAATTTGTCTGTTCCTGTATAGTTTCTCCTTGGATCTGTTAACAATTCACATAATCGCTGAATAGTAAAAGGGATACGGTTAAATCCAGTGACAGTTTTCAGTATTCTTCCCTTTGTTTCATCAAAGGGAATATATTCGACTTTAGGGTTGGGAGGACCTCTTGGCGCAGGAGCTGAAGTTCTGAAATCATCCATCACTTTCTCCAGTTTGAAAATAAAATAGCCTTTAAATTGGGACCACTGAATCTGTTTCTCCAGTCTTGGCTACATGACAAAAGGAACTGATCCAGGACAGGACAGACTTTCTTTTTTGCCTCTTCTCAAAATCTTCCAGCGCCTCCTGGAGCCTGTCGACGTCCATGGCTTCCCGGAGTCCCTCACAGCCTCCGCCTCCCTCCGCGGGTCTCTTGGGGACCGGAACGCCTCCCCCCACCCCCCGACGTCCTCCCACTCCCTCGCACACCCTCCAGCACGCAGGCCAAGTGGGGTGGGGGGGAACGAAGGGAGCCGGGGAAGCGTGTGAGAGAGTGAGACCGACAGAGTGAGCACCTCCCCAAGCCGCTACCACCAGCCCTCCAACATGGCGCCTGGCACATCACCCTAAAAAGTCATTTCTTGGAGAAGCGATGGATGACAGAGATTAATCTGAGAGTTACTATTAATGGAGAAACTTAGAACTTACCATTTTTCCTGTGAGGTTTCGGTGCTGATACTTCTATTCTGTGAGTTCTGGCAATTGTGTCCGTTCACCCAGCCTGGTGATGCAGCAGGTGTCACAGAAGGACCCTGTCCCAGCTGGTCCTGCTCCACTGCTAGGATGGTGTGCCCTCTGATCTGTGACCGTGTCTTGAGGGGAGACCAGGCCCTTGATCACAAGCGTATCCATGGTGAGGTTCCGTGGATGGAAGCTCATGGATGTTCCTTCCTGATGTTCATCTGCCACCTTGCTATTGAATGCATCCTGTTTATAACTGTCTTCTAAATATTGAATAGAAATAAAGCGTTTTTACAGTATGGGTAAGGTATAAAGAATATTGACACATTGGACACAGAGGACCTCCACCAAGTTTAGGGAGTAGAATCTGAAGAGACATAACTTTGGATGCTCCCTGGAGGCCCTGCCTGAGTCCCAGTCCCTTCCCTTCTCCTACGGAGGGAATCACTTCTTGCTTTAGTCTTTATTATTTGCACACTTTCCTTCATAGTACATTTCTTTCACCGTGTGTGTACATCCCTAAAAAATAAGCCATTTAGTTTTTGAACTTTCTGTTTTCTTTCTGAGGCAGGGTCTTGCTCTGTTGCCTCGGCTGTAGTTTTGAACTTTGACGTGAGGGAATTCTCCTGCATGGCTGCTCCTACACTGCATGGCTCTGAGCACCTGCTCTGTGTCTATTTTTGTCCTCCATTCTCTCCCTGAGACCCACCCACACTGACATGGCTCATTTTCATTGCTGCATGGTCTCCCGTCGTCTGAGGGGAGCATGGGAAATGTCTTCATCTTCCCGTGGATGAGTGTTTGGCCAGGTTGGGGCCCTTAGGACTGTGTTTTGTTGGGAACGTTCTTGGGCATTTCTTTTGTACACAAGCGCAAGTTTCTTCTGGTCAGTAGCTTTCAAGTTTTAAAATTTCATCCCAGGTAAGAAATGTAATTTTCCTCATAACCCACAACACACACTCTTTCATATACAAGCATAGCAGAAATATACTTCACAAGCGTTAGCAGTGCCTGGTGTTCCTGCTTCTCACCATTCTCCCCAACGCTGGCATGGATTGGGTTGTGAGATTTTTGCCCGTCTGGTGAGTGTCACGTGATATCTCCCCCGTTAGGCTGAGCCCCTCTTCATGTTTTCATTAGCCGTTCCTCCACATTTCCTCTTCTGTGGAGGGCCGGTTCAGCTCTTTTGCCCAGTTTCTGTTAAGTTGTTTGAATTTTTGCACTTTTCCTTTATTATTCCTATTATTATGTTTTTGAGACAGAGTCTCACTCTGTCACCCAGGCTGGAGTGCAGTGGCGTGATCTCAGCTCACTGCAACCTCCACCTTCTGGGTCAAGTGATTCTCCTGCCTCAGCCTCCTGAGTAGCTGGGATTACAGATGGGTGCCACCACACCCGACTAATTTTTGTATTTTTACTAGTGATGGGTTTTCACCATGTTGGCCAGGCTGGTCTGAAACTCCTGACCTCAGAATATTTTCCCTGGATATACTATTCTGGGATGAAAGTTTTTTTTCCTTCAGTTCTTTAAATATGCCATGCCCCTCTCTCCTGGCTTATAATGTTTCCACTGAAAAGTCTGCTCCAAGATATACGGGAGCTCCTTATATGTTATTTGTTTCTTTTCTCCTTCTGCCTTCAGAATTTTTTCTTCATCCTTGACTTTTGGGAGTTTGATTATTAAATACCTTTGGTTTAAATCTACTTGGTGTTCTACAATCTTCTTGCATTTGAATATTGATATAGTTCTCTAGGTTTGGGAAGCTGTTACTATCTCTTTGAACAGATTTTCTATGCTGATCTCTCTCTCTACCTCCTCTAATGCTTAGATTTGTTCTTTTGAGGCTATTTTCTAGATCTTGTAGGTGTGCTTCATTGTTTTTATTTTATTTCTTGCTTTATAGTTTTTTATTCTTTTTTCTTTTGTCTTCTCTGACTGTGTGTTTTCAAATAGCCTGTCTTCAACCTCACTAATTCTTTCTTCTGCTTGATCTGTTCTGCTGGTAAGAGATCTCATGCATTCTTCAGTATGTCAATGATATTTTTCAGGTCGAGAATTTCTGCTCGGTTTTAAAAAATTATTTCAATCTCTTTGTGAAATATATTTGATACGATTCTGAATTCCTTCTCTGTGTTGTCTTGAGTTTCCCTGAGCTTCCTCTAAACAGCCATTTTGAGCGTTTTCTCTGAAAGTTCACATGTCCATCACTCTGAGATTGGTCACTCCTGCCTTCTTTAGTTCATCTTGTGAGGTCATGTTTTCCTGGATGCTCTTGATGCTTGTGGATGTTGGTCAATGCCTGGGCATTAAAGAATTAGTTATTTATTGTAATCTCCACAGTCTGTGCTTGTGTGTACCCATCTGTCTTTGTTTGTTTCTTTTTTCTGAGACAGAGTCCCACTCTGCCACTCAGGCTGGAGTGCAATGGCATGATGATGGCTCATTGCAGCCTCAGCCTCCTGGGCTCAAGCGATCCTCTCACCTCAGCCTCCCGCGTAGCTGGGACTACAGGCACATGCCACCATGTCCAGCTGATTTTTGTATTTTTTGTAGACACAGGGTCTCAGTGTGCTGCTCAGGCTGGTCTTGATCTCATGGATTCAAGTGATCCTCCCTCCTCGGCTTCCCAAAGTGCTGGAATTATAGGCATGAGCCACCAAGTCTGAGCTGCTTCTTCTTCTTCTCTTTTTCCTCTTCTTCTTCTTCTTCTTCTTCTTCTTCTCCTTCTCCTTCTCCTTCCTCTTTCTTCCTCCTCCTCCTTATTCTTATTCTTTTTTGACGGAGTTCCACTCTTGTTGCCCAGGCTGGAGTGCAGTGGTGCAATCTCAGCTCACTGCAACCTCCACCTCCCGGGTTCAAGTGGTTCTCCTGCCTCAGCCTCCTGAGTAGCTGGGATTACAGGCATGCACCACCACACCTGGCTTATTTTGTATTTTTAGTAGAGATGGGGTTTCTCCATGTTGGTCAGGCTGGTCTCGAACTCCCGACTTCAGGTGATCCACCCACCTCAGCCTCCCAAAGTGCTGGGATTACAGGCATGAGCCACCGCACCCGGCCTCCCGTCCTTCTTGAGAAAGCTTTCCCGGTATTCAAAGGGAACTGAGGGTTGTGACCTAAGTCTTTTGTCACTGCAGTCACATCTGCATTAGAGGCACCTCAAGCCCAGTAACACTATGACTCTTGCAGACTCATAGAGGGACCACCTTGGTGGTCTTAAGTAAGATCTGGGAGAATTCCCTGGATTACCAGGCAGAGCCTCTTGTTCTTTTCCTTCACTTTACCCCAAACAAATGGAGTCTTTCTCTCCATGCTGAGCTGTCTGGAGTTAGGGGAGGGGCGACACAAGCACTCCTGTGGCCACCAGCACTGGGACTGTAGCAGGATGAGCTACAGACAAAACCCCTCAGACACCGGGTTAAAGAAGGAAGAGGCTTTATTCGGCCGGGAGCGTCGGCAGACTTGCATCTCAAGAACGAAGCTCCTAGAAGAAAGAGTTCCTGGCCCTTTTAAGGGCTTACAACTCTAAGGGGTCCACATGAAAGGGTTGTGATAGATTGAGATCTATAGAGAGCACATCTGGTTAGAGTCGGGGGTTAATCTTTAACCTCAGGCCTGGTCATCAGTGCGCCGGCTGGTCTTGCCACTGACTTCATTCCTGTTGTTTTTCAGCTTTTACTTCCTCCTTCTCTTCAGAGACAGGAGACAGTAAGAGAAATGACCTCTCTCCTCAGGACCATGCTGGGTCAGACCTGAAGCCAGCCCAGCGCTGGGTCTCTCCCACAGCCTGCGGCAACTATGGCTTCACTCCCACTGATGTTTAGGGCCCAAGTACTCTTTGGTGAGCAGGAGGTGAATGCAGCCAGGCTTGTCTTGTTCCTTTCAGGGTGGCAGGTTCCCTTCTGGCCCAGGGTGGGTCTAGAAATCAGGGTGAATCTCGAAATGCTTTCCGGGAGCTAGGGCCCAGAATTGGGAATTTTTGGAATCTACTTGGTGCTTGATTTTACTGTGGGTGTGCTGACCCCCGAGTTAAACACAGCGTCGTTTTCACTCTTCCCTCTCCTTTCCCCAAGCAGGAGTCTTCTCCCCATGGCCGCTACCACCCCAGGCCCGTGGCAAGAACTGCTTGGTGACCGCTGATGTTTCTTCAAGCCCCAGGGGCTCTTTAGTCAGCAGGTGGCAAATGCAGCCAGGCTTGTGTCTTTCTTTTCAGGGCGGCAGATTCCCTTCCAGCCCAGAGCAGGTGCAGAAATGCCATCCAGGAACTAAGGCTGGGAATCTGGGACTTCAGGAATCTGCTTGCTGCTTTATTTACTATGGCTGAGCTGGTACCTCCAGTGCAAGACAAAGTCCTCTTTACTCTTCTCTCCCTTTTTCTCAAGGAGAAGGAGCCTCTTTCTGTGGCCATCACAGCTGGAGATGTGCTGGGTCACACTTAAAGCCAGTAAGGCTCTGAGTCTCCCCCAAGGCCTGTGGTGAGTGCTGCCTGCCTGGCTACTGCTGATATTTATTTAAGGCCCAAGGGCTATTTAGTCGGGAGGTGAAGAAGGCTGCCAGGACAGACCCTTTCCTTCCAGGCAGCAGGTTTCCTTTTGGCCCAGTATGTGCCTAGAAATGTTGTCCAGTAGCTGGGGCCTAGAACAGGGGAGCTTCAGGACTCTGCTTGGTGAGTTATTTTACTGTGGCTGAGCTGGTACCCAAGTGGCAAGACAAAGTCCTCTTTATCCTCCTCCCTCCTCTCATCCAGTAGAAGGAGGGAGTCTCTCCCAGTGCTGTGAGCTGCGCAGCCTGGGGGTGGGTGAGGGTTGACACAAGCACTCCCTGGGCTGCCCCCGCTGGTGTCTCACTAGGTCATGTGCACCCCAAGTCCACTGGCTCCAGGGTATTTCCAGGAATTGCAGTCCCTGTGGCCTAGGCTGCCTTTCAAGTTTATTTAGGATCCCAGAGCTCTTTAGCCAGCAGTGCGTGGCTTGCTAGAATTCAGGTTCACACCACTGAGATTGAGGATTTGTCTTTGCTAGGGCTGGTTTAAATGCTGTGTCTGTGAGTGCTGCCCTGTGTTGTTTTCCACTGTGACTGGGCAGCACCGAGTGGCAATGCAAAGTCCTATCATCACTGTGCTCTGCCTCTCCCAGCTCACGGATTCTCTCTCCCTGCCGTGCAAAGTCCCATCATCACTGTGCTCTACCTCCCCCAGCACACGGATTCTCTCTCCCTGCCATGCAAAGTCCCATCATCACTGTGCTCTACCTCCCCCAGCACACGGATTCTCTCTCCCTGCCATGCAAAGTCCCATCATCACTGTGCTCTGCCTCCCCCAGCACACGGATTCTCTCTCCGTGCCGTGCAAAGTCCCATCATCACTGTGCTCTACCTCCCCCAGCTCACGGATTCTCTCTCCATGCCGTGGGACTGCTGCCATGGGGTAGGAGATGGGTGATGTTAGCATTTCAAGATCGTCTTTCCTGTCCTCTTCAGTGCTTTTCTTGAGATGATATGAAAACCAGATACTGCAGTTGTTCATCTGATTTTCGGTTCTTATGCAGGTTTTTTCTCAACTTGAGAGTTTTCGGTTTAGTGGTCCTGGGCAGGGGTGGGGTGGGGGTGGGTGGGGCCGGGGGTTGGGTGGGGTGGGGGGTGATTGCTGGAGGGCCCTACTTGAGCATCTTGCTCCACTTTCCTCTCACCACCTTTTCAACATTGTTGGGAAAGCCCTAGCCAATGTGATAAGATTAGAAAAAGAAAGAAAAGCTATAATGATCAGAAACAGTTAGAATTGGACCAGGTGCCGTGGCTCACGCCTGTAATCCCAGCACTTTGGGAGGCCAAGGCGGGGGGATCATTGAAGTCAGGAGTTTGAGACTAGCCCGGCCAACACGGTGAAACCCCGTCTCTACTAAAATTACAAAAATTAGCCAGGCTTGGTGGTGGGCACCTGTAATCCCAGCTACTCAGGAGGCTGAGGCAGCAGAATCACTGGAACACAGGAGGCAGAGGTTGCAGTGAGCCAAGATTGTGCCACTGCACTCCAGCCTGGGTGACAAAGGGAGACTCTGTCTCAATAATTAATTAATTAATTAATTAAACGCAGCCATGAAAAAGAATGGGTTCATGTCCTTTGCAGGGACATGGGTGAAGCTGGAACCCATCATTCTCAGCAAACTAACACAGGAGCAGAAAACCAAACACTGCGTGTTCTCACTCCTAAGTGGGAGTTGAACAATATGGACACAAGGAGGGGAACATCACACACTGGGGCCTGTCGGGGGTTGGGGGCAAGGGGAAGGAGAGCATTAGGACAAATACCTCATGCATGCAGGGCTTAAAACCTCGATGATGGGTTGGTAGGTGCAGCAAACCACCATGGCACGTGTCTACCTATGTAACACACCTGCACGCTCTGCACATGTGTCCCAGAACTTAAAGTAAAATTTTTTTAAAAAAGAAATAAGTACAGTTATCTTTATTTGCAAAGTTTATGATTGCTCCTGTATAATAGCCCAAGAAATTTACAAAAACTTCTAGAATGAATAAATGAATTTGTCAGGGTCACGGGATACAAGATTGCTATATTAAAATGATTTGTATTCTTGGTTGGGAGCCGTGGCTCATGCCTGTAATCCCAGAACTTTGGGAGACAGAGGCAGGAAGAATGCCTGAGCTCACAAGTTTAAGACCAGCCTGAACAATGTGGCAAAGCCCTGTCTCTACAAAAAAATAAATAAATAAAATCATTTGTATTATGTAACGGCATCAAATAATTATTAAAAATTAATTTACAATAGTGCTAAAGAACATGGAATGCTTAGGAAAAAACTTAACAAAAGATGTTAAAATTTTTAATGCTGAAAACTACAAAATGTTGCTGAGAGAAATTAAAGATTTCAATTAATATACCACATTTCTGAATTGGCAAAAATATATCTCATGAATTGGAAGATTCAGTATGATTGTCTTAATCTGTTTGGGCTGCTACAGCAATATAGGTGGCTTAAACAGCAAACATTTATTTCTCATGTTCTGGAGGCTGGTAAGTGTAAGATTGAGGCAGCAGATTTGGTATCTGGTGAGGACTGGCTTTCCTGTTCATAGACAGCTGTCTTCTTATTGTGTCCTCACATGGCAGAGGGAGGGAGGCAGCTCTCTAAGGTCTCTGTTGTAAGGACACGAATCCCATTTATGTGGGATCTATCCTCATGGCCTTATCATCTCCCAAAGTCCCCTTGTCCAAATACCACCACACTGGGTATCAGGTTTCAACATGTAAATCTGGGAGGCGGGCAAAGACATTCAATCAATAGCAATTGTTAAGATGTCAAATTTTCCCAAATTGATCTATAGAGTTAACACAACTCCATACAAAATTCAAGGCTTTTTTACATAAATTGACAACGTGATACTAAGAGTTATATGGAAATATGGAGGGCCTAGAGAAGCTTTTATTTTTTGAGATGGAGTCTTGCTTTGTCGCCCAGGCTGGAGTGCAGTGGCGTGATCCCAGCTCACTGCAACCTGTGCCTCCTGGGTTCAAGGGATTCTCCCACCTCAGCCTCCCCAGTAGCTGGGATAACAGGTGCCTGCCACCACGCCTGGCTAATTTTTGTATTGTTAGTAGAAACAGGGTTTTGCCATGTTGGCCAGGCTGTTCTTGAACTCCTGACATCAGGTGATCCACCCACCTCAGCCTCCCAAAGTGCTGGGATTAAAGGCATGAGCCACTGCGCTTGGTTACAATTTTTTATTTTATTTTATTTTGTATTGTTTGTTTATTTATTTATTTTTGAGATGGAGTCTTTCTCTGTTGCCCAGGCTGGAGTGCAGTGACATAATCTCAGCTCACAGGAACCTCCGCCTCCCAGGTTCAAATGATTCTCCTGCCTCAGCCTCCCAAGTAGCTGGAATTACGGGCGTCTGACACCACACTCAGGTAATTTTTGTATGTTTAGTAGAGACGGGGTTTTGCCACATTGGCTAGGCTGGCCTTGAACTCCTGGCCTCAAGTGATCTGCCCGCCTGAACCTCCCAAAGTGCTGAGATTACAGGTGTGAGCCACCGTGCCCGGCCAGAAACAGTTGTGTTTTTTTTTTTTTTTTTTTTCTTTTTTAAAGAAGAACAATTCTTTCTCAGCCTTTCGGCAAAGATTAAGTGTAGTCTATATTATTAGTTTAGTATTTGATATGTCCTCTATCTGAGGACAATATATTAAATGGGCGTCTAGAGCAAGAAAATAGAATAGGAGCTTGTTCTGTCCATTCCACTCATTAATCTGATGTTGCGGTATCTGGTGCCTGGAGAAGGAGATGGAGAAGTAGGAGCAGAAGAAGGAGAAGGAAGGAAAGAAGAAGAACAAAGCTAGAGGTATTACCCTACCTGATTTCAAAGCTTATAAACTCTCAGGTGTGGGGAAAAGCAAGAGAGATCAGATTGTTACTGTGTCTGTGTAGAAAGAAGTAGACATAGGAGACTCCATTTTGTTATGTACTAAGAAAAATTCTTCTGCCTTGAGATTCTGTTAATCTATGACCTTACCCCCAACCCCGTGCTCTCTGAAACATGTGCTGTGTCAACTCAGAGTTGAATGGATTAAGGGCGGTGCAAGATGTGCTTTGTTAAACAGATGCTTGAAGGCAGCATGCTCCTTAAGAGTCATCACCACTCCCTAATCTCAAGTACCCAGGGACACAAAAACTGCGGAAGGCCGCAGGGACCTCTGCCTAGGAAAGCCAGGTATTGTCCAAGGTTTCTCCCCATGTGATAGTCTGAAATATGGCCTCGTGGGAAGGGAAAGACCTGACCGTCCCCCAGCCCGACACCCGTAAAGGGTCTGTGCTGAGGAGGATTAGTAAAAGAGGAAGGAATGCCTCTTGCAGTTGAGACAAGAGGAAGGCATCTGTCTCCTGCCTGTCCCTGGGCAATGGAATGTCTCGGTATAAAACCCGATTGTATGCTCCATCTACTGAGATAGGGAAAAACCGCCTTAGGGCTGGAGGTGGGACCTGCGGGCAGCAATACTGCTTTGTAAAGCACTGAGATGTTTATGTGTATGCATATCCAAAAGCACAGCACTTAATCCTTTACATTGTCTATGATGCCAAGACCTTTGTTCACGTGTTTGTCTGCTGACCCTCTCCCCACAATTGTCTTGTGACCCTGACACATCCCCCTCTTTGAGAAACACCCACGGATGATCAATAAATACTAAGGGAACTCAGAGGCTGGCGGGATCCTCCATATGCTGAACGCTGGTTCCCCGGGTCCCCTTATTTCTTTCTCTACACTTTGTCTCTGTGTCTTTTTCTTTTCCAAATCTCTCGTCCCACCTTACGAGAAACACCCACAGGTGTGTAGGGGCAACCCACCCCTACATCAGGAACCAAGACAGTTTGGTACAGGCAAACAAATAGATGTATAGGCTGGGTGCGGTGGCTCACGCCTGTAATCCCAGCACTTCCGGAGGCCAAGACGGGTGGATCACCTGAGGTCAGGAGTTCAAGACCAGTCTGGCCAACATGGTAAAACAAAAATACAAAACAAAATACAAAAATTAGCTGGGCGTGGTGGCTCGCACCTGTAGTCCCAGCTATTCGGAAGGCTGAGACAGGAGAATCACTTGACCCTGGGAGGTGGAGGTTGCAGTGAACCGAGGTCACACCGCTGCCCTCAAGCCTGGGCGAAAGAGCAAGACTCCATCTCAAAAATAAAAATAAAAATAAAAAAATAGATATATAGATTGACATAACAGAGTCCAGGTACAAACCCATTCATATATGGCCAATCGATTTTTGACAAATGTGCCATGGCAATTCAATGGGGAAAGATAAGTTTTTGTAACAAATGGTGCTGGATCAACTGGATATCTATAGGGGCAAAAAAGTAAACATTGACCCTTACCCCATACCATCCACAAAAACTAACTCAAAAAGGCATAGACCTGGCCGGGCGCGGTGGCTCACGCCTGTAATCCCAGCACTTTGGGAGGCCGAGGCGGGCGGATCACGAGGTCAGGAGATCGAGACCATCCTGGCTAACACGGTGAAACCCCGTCTCTACTAAAAATACAAAAAATTAGCCGGGCGTGGTAGCGGGCGCCTGTAGTCCCAGCTACTCGGGAGGCTGAGGCAGGAGAATGGCGTGAACCTGGGAGGCGGAGCTTGCAGTGAGCCGAGATCGCGCCACTGCACTCCAGCCTGGGCGACAGAGCGAGACTCCGTCTCAAAAAAAAAAAAAAAAAAAAAAAGGCATAGACCTACATGTAAAATCTAAAATTATGAAATTTCCATTAAAAACACATAGGAGAAAATCTTTAGGGTAGGCAAAACTTTCTTAGGTAGAATACAAAAAAAAAGAAAAGGTTAGACTTCGGCCGGGTGCGGTGGCTCACACCTGTAATCCCAGCACTTTGGGAGGCTGAGGTGGGCGGATCATGAGGTCAGGAGATCGAGACCATCCTGGCTAACACTGCAAAACCCCGTCTCCACTAAAAATACAAAAAATTAGCTGGGCGTGGTGGCAGGCGTCTGTAGTCCCATCTACTGAGGAGGCTGAGGCAGGAGAATGGCGTGAACCCAGGAGGCGGAGGTTGCAGTGAACCGAGATCACACCACTGCACTCCAGCCTGGGCGGCAGAGCGAGACTCTGTCTCAGAAAAAAAAAAAAAAAAAGAAAGAAAGAAAAGGTTAGACTTCATCAAAATGAAAAACTTGCTTTTCAAAAGGTACTATTTAAAAAATGAAAAGGCAAACCACAGATGGGAAGAAAATATTTGCAAATCATATATCTAATAATGTAGATCCAGAATAGGTAAAGATCTCTTATAACTCAATAATAAGACAAGCAAAATTTTTTAAATTTTTAAAATATTTGAATAAAGACTTAAAAGCTGCACAAATGGGCACTAAGTGCATGGAAGACGTTCAACGTCGTTAGTGGTCAGGGAGATGCAAGTGAAGCCACAGCGAGATGCCGCTATGTGCTCGTTAAAAGGGCCAGAATTTAAGAGACAGACTATACTAAGTATTAGTGAGGATGTTGAGCCACTGGAATTTTGCATGCTACTGATGGGAATATAAACTGTTGCTACTACTTTAGAATACAATTTGGTAGTTTCCTTAAAAGTTAAATAAATACCCAATATGTGACCAGCTATGCTATGTCTAGGGCTATCCGTGAGAAGCAAAAACTTGCATCCACACAAACGCTTGTGCTCAGAGGTTCATGGAAGCTTTATTTGCAATAGCTCAAAAGTGGGAACAATGAACTAATTTAGAAACAGAAAGTCATGAGGCGGGCAGGTCACTTAAGGTCAGGAGTTCAAGACCAGCCTGGCCAACATGGCAAAACCCCGTCCCTACAAAAAATAAAAAAATGATCCGGGTGTGGTGGTGTGCACCTGTAATCTCAGCTACTCAGGAAGCTGAGGCGAGAGGATCGCTTGAATCCGGGAGGCAGAGGTTGCAGGGAGGCGGAGGTTGCAGTGAGCCGAGATTGCACCACTGCACTCCACCCTGGGTGACAGAGTGAGACTCAGTCAAAGAAAAGAAGAAAGAGAGAGAGAAGAGGAAGAAGAAAGAAGAAGATGAGGAGGAGGAAGAGAGGAAGGGCAGGAGGGTGGGAGGGTGGGAGGGAGGGAGTGCAATACTGCATGTTCTCACTTATAAGTGAGAGCTAAACAGTGGGTACATATGGTCATACAGATGGAGTGACAGACTCTGGAGACCCCAAAAGATGAGAGGGTGGGAGGCTGGTGAGGGCTGGAAAACCACCTTTTGGGTAAAATGTTCATTATTCAGGTGATGGGAGCACTACAGCCCAGATGTCACCACTATGGAATGTGTGCACGTAAGAAGCCTACACTTGTACCCTCTAAATATATATATTTTAAAAAGTGGAAACAACCCAGATAGCTATCAGAATGTATTATAGCTATACAATAGACTACTACTTAGCTATGAAAATGAACTATTGGTTCCATTTATATAAAATTCTTGAAAATGCAAATTAATTGATAGTGACAGAAAATCGCTGGTTGCCTGGTGACAGGTAGTGGCACTGGAGGATGTGAGCAGTGGTGGAAGGGAGAGATGCCCAAGATGCACAAAGAAACTTTTGTAGGTGATGGACATGTGATAGTGGGGATGGGATGGTGTCACAGTGTGCACCCCTCTCGAATCCATCAAGTTATCTATTTTAAATTGTGTAGTGCAGTGCACATCAATTATACCTCAATAAAATAGTAAAATTAAAAGTGTACATATACACCATAGCATCTTGCTTTGTTCACTTAATTACAGATCTTGACTGATTCATATCTAGACGAATAAATCTATTCTTTAAAAATACTGGATATTAGACATTCCATAGATATGCGGTATCTTTTTACAAATCATTCCCCTTTTAAAGAACGTCTAAGTAGGTTGAACTATTTTGCTACTGCATGTTATGTTTAACAGAGTACCTATGATTTGTGTGTGTGCGTGTGTATGTTTCTATCTATTTATCTATCTTTGTGCACAAGTAGGGGGTTTTTCCATAGGACAAATACCTAGAAATAGAATTTCTTAGATCAAATGGCTTATGCATTTAGAATTTTGTTAGGTAACTTTTAGGTTGACCCCCAAAGATGTTGGACCAACTTATACTCCCATCAGCAAAGTATGAATAGATTTCCGTTTCTTCCCCAGGCTCATCAATGCACCGTGTGGCCAAACAGAACAGAAGCTTGTTTTTCATTCACGCTACCTCCTCCTCTCAGAGCTGGCAGGAGTTCTTGTCCACATTGTTAAGCGGGGTCATTGATGACTGAACTTCCCACATTTTGTGACAGCAGCATCTAGAATATGCAGCACTCTCCATCATCATGAGAGAAAAAGAGATTGGAGAATCACCCAGAGCTCTTTATTGCCTCAGCCAAATAAGTGACACATGTCATGTCTCACGATTCATTGGCCAGAACTAGTCCCGTGGCCCTGTCTGACTGCAAGGGAGCTGGACAACGTGAAGGAGCAGGTGGAATATTGGATATTTAAATACCACTGCTTTAGTACAGTGGTTAAGAGTAAAGTATTTGAAGTTATAAGGAGGTTGGTTCAAAAAATAATGACTTTGCAGACAGGCGCGGTGGCTCACGCCTGTAATCCCAGCACTTTGGGAGGCTGAGGCAGGCAGATCCCTTGAGGCCAGGAGTTCAAGACCAGCCTGGCCAACATGGTGAAACCCCATCTCTACTATAAAAACCAAAAAAAATTAATCGGTTGTGGTGGCACATGCCTATAGTCCCAGCTACTCGGGAGGCTGAGTCAGGAGAATCGTTTGAACCTGGGAGGCAGAGGTTGCAGTGAGCTGAGATGGCGCCACTACACTCCAGCCTGAGTGACAGAGTGAGATTCTGTCAAAATAAAAAAAAAAGACTTTGCCATCAACTCGTGGTGTGTCCTTGGGCAACTTACTTAGGTTCTCATGGTTTCTTCTGTCTTTTTTGAGACAGGGTCTCACTCTGTCACCCAGGAGGAGTGCAGTGGCACGATCACAACTCACTGCAGCCTCCACCTCCCAGGCTCAAGCAATCCTCCTACCTCAGCCTCCTGAGAGCTAGGACTACAGGAATGCACCTCCACACCTGGCTAATTTTCTTTTTTATAGAGACGTGGTCTCACTATGTCTCCCAGGCTAACTAGTCTCAAACTTCTGAACTCAAGCAATCCTCCGCCTTGGCCTCCCGAAGTGTTAGGATTACAGGCATGAACCACTACACCCAGCCAGTTTCTTCTTTTATAAAATAAACAATTTAAGCTTCCTAGAAACAGCTCCTATAGGCCAGGCATGGTGGCTCACACCTGTAATCCCAGCACTTTGGGAGGCTGAGGCAAGTGGATCACTTGAGGCTGGGAGTTCGAGACCAACCTGGCCAACATGGTGAAACTCCGTCTCTACTAAAAAAAAATACAAAAATTAGCCGGGTGTGGTGATGCGCCTGTAGTCTCAGCTACTCAGGAGGCTGAGGGAGGGGAATTGCTTGAACTTGGGGAGGTTGCAGCGAGCCAAGGTCGCACCAGTGCACTCCAGCCTGGGCGACAGAGCGAGACTCCATCTCAAAACTTTTTTTAAAAAAGCAGCAGCTACCATATCTGACTTGCTCACTCCTGGATTTCCAGCCAGCCCAATACTGAGCGCATAGAAGAAAGTCAATATGTATTGAATGAGAAGTATCTACTTCAAAAAACTGTTTCAAGGATTAATTGAAATAATGCAGGTAAAAAGCATTATTATAATGCCTGATATATATAACATTTTCAAATTATAACTATTATTTTTACTTGCTCTTTTTTACCTTTTTTTCAACAGCTTTATTGAGATATGCTTTATGTATCATGAAGTTTATCTCTTTTTTTATTATTATACTTTAAGTATTAGGGTACACGTGCACAACGTGCAGGTTTGTTACATATGTATACATGTGCCATGTTGGTGTGCTGCACCCATTAACTCGTCATTTAGCATTAGGTTTTTACTTGCTATTCCTCCAATGCCTAGGATTGTCCTGTATCTTTGATTTTATGTACCTTCCTACACCTGGAAGGAAGGAAATTGACAGTTATTCATCATTTTATACTATGGCCACTACTAGGACTGCCTACTTTTACCCTACTGCATTAAGAAAAAAATTAAAGTATATTTTACATACAACAAAATGAACAGTTTTTTTTTTTTTAAAGTTCTGGGATACATGTGCAGAACACGCAGGTTTTGTTACACAGGCAAACATGTGCCATGGCGGTTTGCTGCACCCATCCGCCCGTCTCCTAGGTGTTAAGCCCTGCATGCCTTAGCTATTTGTCCCGATGCTCTCCCCCGCTTCGCCCCCTCGCCCCGCAACAGATCTTAAATGTAAACTTTATGAATTTTGAAAAATGTAAGAGTAACTGTCACTCCAATCAAGGTATTAGAGCTTTATCGCAGTAGTTTCTGTTCTGTATTTTTCTGTTGGGTTCTTGAATTCCTTGATCAGAGCCGTGTTCCTGGGTGACGGAAGTGCTCCTCTGTTATGTGTGGCAAGTGCTTCTGGGTGTGGATGCGGCGTTTTGCATACACTTTGTAGAAGGAAGGATTTGTTAAGTGTCTGGGCACATAATTAATATGCAGAATGCTTCCAGTAAGGTGGAGGGCTGAAAGGCGAGCTCCCTTCCAACTCGGGAAATTGACCGGGATGAGGAGGTGGGTGGCGCCCGGCAGGGGAGCAGCATCAGAACCAATCACAGGAGCAGGTCCAACTTGATGCTGGAAGCTTTCCAGAGTGGCCTTCAAGGAAAGGAACAGAAAATTCTGGAGACCAATGCAGTGTAGCAAAGAGGTTGTGCCGTTACGCCCATGAAAGGCAAAATGATGAGTCATCAAAACGCTGAGCGTTCCTATTGGAGAAGGGCAACCTTTTCTGCCTTCTAGGAAACTAACGAGAAACAGGAATAGGGAACAATAGAGCTGAATGTCAGAAATGCTGTCTGTCAGTGCACGCGGGAGGCTTAGAGGCCCGAGGGTATCACCCCATGGGTGTGGATTCCTACCACCCCATCTCTTACCGGGTGGCATAAACTCTGGGAAAAACCCTGCACCAGTGAGGACCAGGCCCAAGGATGGCATCAGACTCTCAGTGCCAATTTAATGGCCTCAGGCTGCAGGAAAAGTGTCTATAAAACAGGAAGCACAGCCGCCTTTAATAGCTCTGAAGGAAAAACACCAATCTCGGTCTCAAAGAAGCTGAGAATCTTGCCAGGTGCGGTGGTGCACGCCTGTAATCCCAGCTACTTGGGAGGCTGAGGAGGAGGGTGGCTTGAGCCCAGGAGCTCTGGGCAGCTGTGCCCTACTTTGATTGGGTGTCTGCACTAAGTTCGGCATCAATATGGTGACCTCTCAGGATGGGGAGACCACCAGGTTGCCTAAAGTGGGTGAAGTGGCCCAGGTCAGAAATGGAGCAGGGCAAAACTCACTGTAGTGGGATCGCATCTGTGAATAGCCACTGCACTCCAGACTGGGCAACATAGTGAGACTCCGTTTCCAAAAAAATCATCATAATAAATTTAATCAATGTAAGAAAAAGAAGGTAAGAATCTCCCACAAACTCATAAACGCTGATGGTGACAGTGAAAACTGATATACGCATTTTGGAAAAAGAGTTTGGCGTTGCAGACGGTATCTGAAAGTGCACATTATGCCTGCAGCCTAGTTAAACTGGAAGAGAGGTCCATCCGTGTTCTCACAAGGGGACGTGTATACAAGATGTTCATCACAGAAGTGTTTGTAACAGCAAAAAATTGGAAACACTCAAAATGTCCCTGAATGAGGATTGAGAAAAATTGTATATTCATGCAATCGTGTATCTCTGGAGGTTAAAATGAACTATGTTTCAGCAACGATAGATCTCAACATGCCAAATTAAAAATCCATTTGCATGATAGAACATGTAAAAAGAGTGTCATATATTCATAGTTATACATAACTGGTTTTTAAATGAGAAGGACTCAGTATGCAGGCAGAAAGCAGCATTATTTTTTATTTTTTGAGACAAGGTCTCACTCTGTCACCCAGGCTGGAGTGCAGTAGCACAATCTTGGCTCACTGCAACCTCCACCTCCTGGGCTCAAGCGATTCTCCTGCCTCAGCTTCCCGAGTAGCTGGGATTACAGGCATGCACCACCTCGCCTGGCTAACTTTTGTATTTTTGGTAGAAATGGGGTTTCAACATGTTGGCGAGGCTGGTCTCAAACTCCTGAGGTCAAGTGATCCATCCGTCTCGGCCTCCCAAAGTGCTGGGATTACAGGCGTGAGCCACCGCGGCTGACCACTGTTTCCTTAATGTTAATGCCAGTTATTTCAAGCTAAAAAGATTTGTTTTTCTAATTAATTTTGATTTTTATCAATAAAATACTTATGCATAGTTTTAAAAACTCAAATAGTCTTCAAGGTTTATAATAAAGGATAGCTCTGACTTTCCCCAGTCCTTAGAAGCCATGGTTTTCAACTCTTTTAGCAGTTTCTTTTGGCGTTTATCTCTTTATTTCTAAATAACTTAAAATGTTTCCAGTTTTAGATATTATCTGTTGATTTTCTGCAACAGGAAATGTGGCTTTAGCTCTTTTTTCTTTTTCTTTTTCTTTTTTTTTTGACGGAGTCTTGCTCTGTCACCCAGGCTGGAAAGCACTGGCGAAATCTCGGCTCACTACAACCTCCGCCTCCTGGGTTCAAGCAATTCTCCTGTCTTAGCCTCCTGAGTAGCTGGGGCTATAGGCACCTGCCACCATGCCTGGCTAATTTTTGTATTTTTAGTAGAGACCGTGTTTCACCATATTGGTCAGGCTGGTCTTGAACTTCCCACCTCAAGTGATCCACCCACCTCAGCCTCCCAAAGTGCTAGGATTACAGGTGTGAGCCACCGTGTCCAGCTGATCTTGTATATTTTTTAGGCCTTTATTCAATCACATTTTATTAACAGTTTGGCTGGATACATAATCCTACATCAAAAATAATTTTTGAAGTAATGGCTCTGTTTTAACTTTTTTTTTTTTGAGATGAAGTGTCGCTCTGTAACCCAGGCTGGAGTGCAGTGACACGATCTCGGCTCATTGCCACCTCCACCTCCCAGGTTCAAGCGATTCTCCTGCCTCAGCCTCCTGAGTAGCTGGGATTATAGGCACCTGCCACCACACCCAGCTAATTTTTGTATTTTTAGTAGAGACAGGGTTTCACCATGTTGGCCAGGCTGGTCTCAAACTCCTGAGCTCAAGTGATCCTCCTGTGTCGGCCTCCGATAGTCCTGGGATTACAGGAGTGAGCCACCGCGCCCGGCTTCTTTTATTTCTTGAGTAGGGGTCTTGCTTGTGTTGCCCAGGCCGGGGTGCAGTGGCAGCATCATAGCTCACTGTAACCTCAAACTCCTGGGCTCAAGCAATCTTCCCGCTTCAGCCTCCCGAGTAGCTGGGACTACAGGCGCGTGCCACCACACCCAGCTAATTTTTTCTTTTATTTTTGTAGAGATGGGGTGTCGACCAGACTGGTCTTCAACTCCTGGCCTCAAGCAATCCTCTTGCCTTGAAGCTTCCCAGAATGTTGAGATTACAGGCGTGAGCCACTGTGCCTGGCCAAAGTACTTTTTCATCACCTATAACCAGGCAAATCAAGACAGGGCCATATACAATCCCCATATGTAAATTCCCAAGATTCACTAACATACTTTTCTCGCGTCTGGGTTTGTTGCAGCGCAGCTTCAGCATGGTATTTATGTGTGTATTAGAGGGTTCAGGAGTCGGGTGAGAGAGAGAGTAGAGTAGAGTAGGCGCCCTGGATTTCTATCTTGGTCATGGAGATTCTAATCCAATTGCAGTCACTACCCTTCAATTGCTGCGTGTCCGTGGGTCACCCGCTCTACCCTTCAATTTCTGCGTGTCCGTGGGTCACCCGCTCTACCCTTCAGTTGCTGTGTGTCCGTGGGTCACCCGCTCTACTCTTCAGTTGCTGTGTGTTCGTGGGTCACCCGCTCTACTCTTCAGTTGCTGTGTGTCTGTGGGTCACCTGCTCTATCCTTTAATTGCTGTGAGTCCGTGGGTCACCTGCTCTGTCCTTTAATTGCTGTGAGTCCGTGGGTCACCCGCTCTACCCTTCAATTGCTGTAAGTCCATGGGTCACCTGCTCTATCCTTCAATTGCTGTTTGTGGGTCACTCACTCTACCTCTCAGAGCCTGTGTCCTCACTGCTAAGTGAGTGTTAGACTTGATGTTCTCTAAGGCCTTTTCAGCTGTAACATAAAATCCCTCTCCCATTGAGAATGTACATTCCCTCCTTCAAACTTCACACCCAGATTCAATTCTACCCTTCAAATTTTTATTTATTTATTTATTTAATTATTTATTTTTGAGATGGAGTCTCGCTCTGTTGCCCAGGCTGGAGTGCAATGGCGCAAACTCGGCTCACTGCAACCTCTGCCTCCAGGGTTCAAGTGATTCTCAAGCCTCAGCCTCCTGAGTAGCTGGGACTACAGGCGCCCGCCACCACATCCAGCTGATTTTTGTATTTTTAGTAGAGATGAGGTTTCACCATGTTGGCCAGGTGGGTCTCAAACTCCTGACCTCAGGTGATCTGCCCATCTCAGCCTCCCAAAGTGCTGGGATTACAGGCGTGAGCTACTACACCCGGTCTAAATTTATTCTTTTATAATCGTTTCCTCTGCATCCCAGTAACAAAGAAGTGCTGTTGGTGAGACCGTAGAAGCTGTACTCACCTCGTAGGTGCCCTGCGTTCCCCTGCGAGTGTTCCTCTGGGCCTAACCACCCGGTCACCTTCTTTGGGTCTGCTGATAGTGAGGTGTCTTGGATAACTACAGCAAATGTTCCAGGAACGTCCCTTTTTTCTATGGACAAGCCCGTCTCTGCAGAAGTTACAGATTGGCATCCTTGCTGAGGGTGACTTGTATCTGTGTCTTCACCTGCTTCCCTGATTTCTGACATACTGACTGCCTTGTCTTCTAGGCATGGAATTTCCTTGAGTTTTAACCCACAGACCTATCTTCGCTGTGGCTTTTTGTGTGTTTTGGCTTTTTGGCCCTTCTAGACCCAACTTCCAACTCTGCTACTGTGGTGAATCATCCCCTAAGGGCTGCTGTGATTTGTAGAACACTCACACCTGTGGGGCACTGAGCGATGCTGCGTGGAACCGGGGAGGAATGCTGAGTGGAACCGGGGAGCGATGCTGCGTGGAACTGGGGAGCAATGTGGAGTTCTTGAGTAAGGGAGAGACATGATGAAATCGATGTTTTAGGAAGATTAACAGGGAATTAACCAGGAGGTACAGGGACTGAAGTCGGCAAGGTCATCTACACAATGTTTGCTGTAATCATGCCATTCAAGGGTGTGAATAGCATCGCATTATCTTGTGTAATTCTTACAGTCTCCCGGTGAGGGTTCATGTCTTACGTGCAGAGGCTAATGGAAGGATCTGATCCCACTCACATGGAAGTCACCTCATGGTTAGGGGTCTGGCATCCCAAAGGTACTTGATCACTGTTTGAAAAATGAACGTGGGGAAGCTAGGACTTGGACACAGGTTCTTTCTATGTGGAATAAAGTGGTAGCTGAGAGGAAGTGAGTCGAGAGAGGAGGCAGAAGGGTGGAGCCCTGAGGTATCTGGGGCTGAAGTAGGTGTATTAGGTGCTGAAGGAGGAGATGGGTAAAGGGGGCTGCCAAGAACCTGAATCTGCTTTCTGGACAAATGAGAGAGCCAGGGGAGAAGGGAAGGAGAGCTGGAACTGAGAGTTTGGGTTCTGTTGCTACCTCCTAAGATGGAGCAAGTCTGGGTGTCCACTCAACATCAGTGCGCAGGCAGGCAGCCGCAGATGCAGGGAGCTTGGTACCTGGGGGCCTCGCTGGCTCAGCTGTGGGAGGGGAGTCGGGGAGTGGCAGTGGGTGGAAACGATCTTACCAAGCTGGAGAGGGTAGCCAAGAACGGAGCAGGTATGGGCTTGCCTGGGAGGCTCACTATTTTAGCAGAAGGAGGAAGAACAGTTAGCTAAAGACTGTGCAGTGTCTGCACTGCAAATTGGATTTGAGCAAAGGAGAGAGCAGAAGAAAGGTGCAAGAGTGACACAGTACCTCACCATTTAAAGACAAGCCTTGACTGCAACATTTCCCACACTTAGTATGGTGGGCTCCAGGGGAGGCCAGATTTCAGGGAGTTAAAGGAGTAGGTGAAGAATCAAAGGAGCCCGTCCTTCATATGATTGGTCTTGACTCCTCCACTGGAAGTTTGTTTATTTAATTTATTTATTTCTGAGACAACGCCTCTCTCTGTTGCCCAGGGCTGGAGTGCAGTGGTGTGATGGTACCCCCCACTGCAGCCTCGAACTGCTGGCCTCAAACAATCCTCCCACCTCAGCCTCCTGAGTAGCTGAGATGACAGGTGCACACCACCACGACTGACTAATTTTTAAATTTTTTGTAGGTAGGGAGTCTTGCCATGTTGCCCAAGCTGGTCTCTAGCTCCTGGCCTCAAGCAGCCTCCCACCTGGGCCTCCCAAAATACTGGGATTATAGGTGTAAACCACCATGCCTAGCCTCTTTTTTAAAAATTAATTTCTTTTTGGCCCGGCGCAGTGGCTCACGCCTGTAATCCCAGCACTTTGGGAGGCCGAGGCGGGAGGATCACTTGAGCTTAGGAATTCAAGACCAGCCTGGCCAACATGGTGGAACCCCGTCTCTACTAAAATACAAAAATTAGCCGGGCGTGGTGGCGCATGCCTGTAATCCCAGCTACTGGGGAGGCTGAGGCAGGAGAATCGCTTGAACCCAAGAGTCAGAGGTTGCAGTGAGCCGAGATCATGCCACTGCACTCCAGCGTGGGTGACAGAACGAGACACTGTCTCAAAAAAATTAATTTTTTTAGAGACAGGGTGTCCCTCTGTCACCCAGGCTGGAGTGCAGATCATAGCTCATTGCAGCCTTGAACTCCTACACTCAACTGATCCTGCTGCTTCTGCCTCCCAAGTGCTGGGATTCCAACTGTGAGCCACTGCGCCGCACTAGAAATTCCTTGATTCTGTGTATGGGGCCACATCTGGCATGACTGTGCCCGAACACCAACCAATCAGGAGTAACTGAACTCACTGGTCCATTTGTTGGTTACCAACCACAACTCTAGGTGTCCACCAGGGGGCACCAGAGCGCAGGGCTCCATGAGGCTCTGTTTCAGAAGAGCCCATGATGACCTCAGGGTTTGTCATCTCTCGGCTCATTTGGCTCTTGCTGTGATTGGGCAGAGGGGGCAGGTGTGTGGGAGCAGCTGGCAGTGCCTCCTCCCAACGGCCTAGTAAGGTTTTGAAAACTGAATTGCTCGGGGGCATGTGAGCACAGCCCCCTTGGCAGCTCCAGGGACCTCTGACTTGGGCAATAGGGTGAAGGCACAGTCTGTTCTCGGTCCTGGGAGGATGTGGCCGGGGTTAGCAGATACACACCATGCCTAAGAATTCCTTCAGAAATCCGTCTCTTCACCTCCGCCAGGAGGCAAGTGATCCCCTCCTGACTCAGAAATGGTGGCCCTTTGTCAAGTCAGATCGTCCTGATCCCAGCCCTCCCTTCCGTGGGCCTTAGCCCAGGCCTCCTTCTAGGCAGTGAGGGTGTGCTTGGGAACAGACTGGCTCCTCCTCCCCGCCAGAGTTTGCCTTCAGCCAAGCACCTCCCATGTCTGGTAGCTGGTTGGAATCACTTAAGGAGCTTTTAAAAACTAAGATGCTGGCTGGGAGCAGTGGCTCACACCTGTAATCCCAGCACTTTGGGAGGCCAGGGCGGGTGGATCACCTGAGGTCAGGAGATCAAGACCAGCCTGACCAACATGGTGAAACCCTGTCTCTATTCAAAATATAAAAATTAGCCGGGTGTGATGTGATGGTGCGTGCCTGTAATCCCAGCTACTCGGTAGGCTGAGACAGGAGAATTGCTTGAACCCGGGAGACAGAGGTTGCAGTGAGCCAAGATCGCACCACTGTACTCCAGCCTGGGTGACAGAGACAAACAAACAAAAAAACTAAGATGCTCAGGCTGGGCGCGGGGGCTCATGCCTGTAATCCCAGCACTTTGAGAAGGCTGAGGCAGGAGAATAGCTTGAGCCCAGGAGTTCGAGACCAGCCTGGGCAACATCTTGAGACCCTGTCTCTACCAAAAAACAAAAACAATACAATGAAGATGCCAACCCCCATCCAAGAGATTCCAATTTAAGTGTTCTAGGGTGGTGCTTGGGCATCAGCACTTTTTTTTTTTTTTTTGAGATGGAGTCTCGCTCTGTCATCCAGGCTGGAGTGCAATGGAGCGATCTTGGCTCACTGCAAGCTCCGCCTCCCAGGTTCAAGTGATTCTCTTGCCTTGGCCTCCCGAGTAGCTGGGATTACAGGTGCCTGCCACCACGCCCAGCTAATTTTTGTATTTTTAGTAGAGACGGGGTTTCACTGTGTTGGCCAGGCTGGTCTCGAACTCCTGACCTTGTGATCTGCCTGCCTCGGCCTCCCGAAGTGCTGGGATTACAAGCGTGAGCCACTGTGCCTGGCCTGGCATTGGCATTTTTAAAACTTTCTGTGTGATTCTTGTGTGCAGCTGTATCGAGACTGTCTGCATCGAAGGCCCTGATAGTCAGAGTGTGGTCCATGGGAAGCTTGATGGAAATGCTGGATCTCAGCGCCCTCCTCCCAGTTTGCTGAATCAGAATTTACAGTTCACCAAGATGCCCCGGTGATTCAGCCGCACACAGTTCCAGAAGCCCTGAGCTAGTTCGTACAGTGTTCTTTACCCACGCTCATCTCCCTGGCCTGAATCACAGCGTGTTTGACTTGCTCAAGTTGTAGCCATGGCTCTCCGTGTTTTGACTGTGACCTACAGAAAGAAACGGACTTTACAACGAGGAAGCAAGTACACCACAGAAACAATGCCTTCACTACCTGGGGTGCACTCTGCACTCCCATTCATTCAGCAGGTAGTTTTGGCACCTGCTTTGCGCCAGGCCTCATTCTAGCTGCCTGTGTCTAGAAGCCCCGGTTGTTGGGAGGTTTCTATTCTAGGAGGAGGGCAAGGGGATCAGAAAGTTAAAAGTAAACCATGTATATAAAGGGCACGCTAAAAGATATTTATTAAAATCTTTTTTTTTAAATTACATTTTTAGGGTAGGGTTCTGGGGTGCTGGTTATGTTCCATTTCTTGATCTGGGTGCTGGGTGTATTACCTGTAAGAATGCAAGCTTTCAGCACTTCTCTGGAGGTATGCTGTACGTCAATAAAAAGTTCAAAAATTACATTGTGATATTTTCTTTCTTTCTTTCTTTCTTTCTTTTTTTTTTTTTGAGAGAGACAGAGTCTTGCTCTGTCGCCCAGTCTGGAATGCAGTGGCGTGATCTCAGCTCCCTGCAACCTCCGCCTCCCAGGTTCAAGCGATTGTCCTGTCTCAGCCTCCCAAGTAGCTGAGATTACAGGCGTGCACCATCATGCCCGGCTAATTTTGTATTTTTAGTAGAGACGGGGTTTCGTCATGTTGGTCAGGCTGGTCTCGAACTCCTGACCTCAGGTGATCCACCTGCCTCGGCCTCCCAAACTGCTGGGATTACAGGTGTGAGCCACCGCACCCGGCCAAACATTCTCATATTTTCTATTCTATTATTATCCTCTTTCATAAAACAAAAAAATAGTCATTCAAAATCCACCATATTCAGTTTACCTCCCTCTAAAAGGTTGCAACAGTAGTTTTAAAAACTGCTTTATTTAAAAACAAGCTGTACGCAGTGGCTCAGGCCTATAATCCTGGCACTTTGGGAGGCCGAGATGAGTGGATTGCTTGAGGCCAGGAGTTCAAAACCAGCCTGGGTAACAGGACGAAACCCCGTCTCTACTAAAAATACAAAAAATTAGCTGGGCGTGGTGGCGGGTGCCTGTAATCCCAACTATTAGGGAGGCTGAGGCCGGAGAATCGCTTGAACCCGGGAGGCAGAGGTTGCGGTGAGCCGAGATTGCACCACTGCACTCCAGCCTGGGCAACAAGCACGAAACTCCATCTCAAAAAAATAAAAAAATAAAAACAAACAAACTAGAAGCCCAATCCCTCAGCAGCACCCACCCACTCTTGGCTTAGCAGCTGCCTGCAGGTGTGAGCCAGGCGGCCCATTCCCCAGCAATGGCCTTCCTTGCCCTCTTGCTTACCTCACAGTGCAAAACAGCTCATGAAGGAGACTCTTAAGGGCACCACCCAAAGCCTCCCTCTGGCAGCCTGGCCCACCTCCACTCCCAGCTAGACCCGACAAGCCCTTCTCCTTGCCGAGTCATTCTGCTGTGGGCAGCTCTCCTAAAGTTCCAGATGTAGGAGGAGACTGGCTCAGGCACGTTAATTAGAGGGTTGGGGTTATCCCTGTGGCCACCTCCCAAATCTCCTGAGACTTATGTTTTTAGTCTGGGGCTCCTTCCTCATGTCAGCTCCCTAGTGGCAGAGCAGTCTCCCTCGGTGTCTCTCTGGCCACCATGATCAGTGTCACGGACACATCCCAGCATAGCCCCAGTTCTCAACCGCATGGCAGGGACCGTCCAGGAGTTGGTGAGGAACAGGGTGGGAGGGAGGAAGGGAGCAGGAGACCTCACTCTTTCCTTTGAACCTAAAGCTCCAGATAATCCTACACTAGAGGTGCATATGGGGCATGGCTCTGGCTTCTTGAGGGAAACTGGAGAGATGGGGGGCTGGGGAAATGGGGGGCTGTGCTGCCCTAGGAGCAGGACCAACCAGCGTGGAGGCGCTTTGACCTCTAGCTTTGTTTGATTTGGAGCTTGATTTACTGGAGGGGAAGTTTGCTCTAAATCAGTTGTTTGCATCTATTGACCAATAAAATCTAGTTAGTCCTGATGCTTCCTGAAGCAGGGCCCCTGGATTTGGCGTTGCTTTTTTGTGCCTCAGATTTTTTTTTTTTTTGAGGCAAGGTCTGGCTCTATTGCCCAGGCAGGAGTGCAGTGGTGTGGTCTCTACTCAGTGCAACCTCCACCTCCCAGGCTCAAGCGATCCTCCCCCCTCGGCCTCCCGAGTAGCTGGGATTACAGGTGCGTGCCACCATGCTCTGCTAATTTTTCTATTTTTTTTGTAGAGACAGGGTTTTGCCGTGTTGCCCAGGCTGGTCCTGAACTTGGGAGCTCAAATGATTTGCCCTCCTCAGCCTCCAAAGTGCTGTGATTACAGGCATGAGTCACCACACTCGGTCTGTGCCTTAGACTTTAGAGTCGGAAAGCTGGATTTGAATCCTGGCTTCACTACTACCAGCTGTATGGCACTGAACAAGTCACTTGGCCATGTAGAACCTCAGTTCTGCCACGTGTAAAATGGGGATATTATGTGTCTCCTTGGGTTGTCATGGGGTTGGATGAGAAGAATGCGAAGTGCAGGGCCTTGCACAGTTGGGCTCTGTGAGTCTTAGCAATGGCCATGACTGAGGCAGCGTGAGGGAGACTGGGAGAAAACCTCCTCAGTTTCCTTCTCCCAAATCTGTTGTCTTCCCCACTTTCTTTCCTGAAGCCAGGCGACAGGGGGGTGGTCCTGGCCCAGCCTCCTGGCTCCCTGGGGAAGGGCTGCCATTACTGGCAGTGTTAGATAATTTAGTAGAAAGTTGCCCTGCCCACCTCGCAGGCAAGGGACCGCCACCCAAATCCACCCAGACTGGGCCTCGTGTAGGTTTCCAGAAGCCACCCCTTTCTCATTGCCCTACTGCGCTCTGGCCAAGTCCCTGGGGCCCATTGCTGGACAGTGTGAGCGCAGAAAGAGCCAGCCCTACACAGTTTCCGATGTGTCTGATCTTGCCACCTACCGTGAACTGTTTTGTTATTACATCCATTTTCTAGATGAGGGACAGTAACAAGGGCTGAGTGGCCCTGAGCCCTTGGGCTCCACGCGCCCGCTGCCCAGGGCTGCCTCCGTTTGGGCTGGGACATGGGTCTGTGGGCTGGGAACAGGGCCTGCAGGCTGCCCCGCCGCTGGGAATCCGAGCGCTGGGTTTTCTCCTTCTGGGGTGGGGGCAGGGAGGAGACGGCTCAAGTGCAGGAATGAAGGTCCGCTTGCCTGGGGCTGTTTCTGCCCAAGTCCTCATCAGGAATCGTCAGGCCTGAGACAAACCCTCCCTCCTTCAGGAGTGCTCCGTTGGCCCCGGGGAAAGAGAGGTGATGGTCCGGGTTTCTGGGCCTTTGGGGTGCCACGGTGAGATTGGGACTAGAACCCCAGCCTCACTGGAGTGACCCCAGAAACCTTCCAGTCCAACCTCCTCACTTCAACTGAGGTTGGAACAACTGAGACCGGGTGGAAGTGACTTTTACACTCGCACAGTGCAACGGTAGCTACTCGGAATGAGAGACCTGTTCCGGCGCTCCTCCATTGCGCCCCTCGACTCGGCGGGACTTCTTCACCCAGGGCGCCACCGCTCCTCGGCACCGCAGGAAGGCGCAGGCCGGGCCCGGGGGAGTCGGGGAGAGCGGGGTAGGGCCCCGGAGGCTGGGGGAGGAGCCGGGGGAGGAGCGATGAGGCCGGGCCCTTTAAGAGGGCGGGCCGACTCCCCCCCACCCCCCACCCCGGGGCGGCGCAGGCGCAGGCGCAGGCGGGCTCGGGGCGCTCGGCAGGAGGGACGGCGGGCGGGCGCTCACCTGCGGGGGCCGGCGCGGGGCGGGCGCCCGGCGGGCCGACGTTGACGCCCGGAGGCGAGGGCGGGGAGGCGGGCGCGGGACTCGGGGGCGGCCCGGGGCGGGAGGGGAGGGCCGGGGCGGGCGGGCGGTGTGAGCGGGCGCCGAGGGCAGCACCATCTGGAGGGGTGGGAGCGCGCGGCCTCTGGGGGGCAAGCGAGTGCGCTGGGCCGAGCCGGTCGGGGGCCCCCGGCGGGTCGCGCAGGAGGAGCGCGGCGGGCTGAGCCCTGCGCTGCCGGAGCAGCAGCCGCAGCGCGTAGGGGTTCTCAGCTGGGGCCCGCAGCAGCTCCGCGGGCTGAAGCTCGGCGTGGAGGAGCGGGGCGGGGTGGGCCCGGCGGTGCAGGAGGAGGGCGGGGTGGGCCCGGGGCTGCAGGAGCGCGGCGGCCGCGGCCACGAGCCCAGCCGGGGGGTGGTGTGGGGGCCGCCGGACGGCGCGGGCTGGGGGCGCCCGCCGTGGTGGACGGGCTCGGCGGGCTGGCCTGTGGCGCAGGAGGAGGGGCTGGGGCCCCGCGGGCAGCACCAGGAGAAGGGCGGAGGCAGCCCCGCAGTGCAGGAGCGCGGCGAGGCCCGGGCCGGGGTGCAGGAGCGCGGGGAGGGGAGCCCGCGGAGGCTGCTGCAGCAGCCCGAACCGGCGTCCGAGTCCGGGGAAGGCCCCCGCGAGCGCAGGGAGGGGCCGGAAAGTTCCGGCGAACTGGGGGAGCGGCAGTGGGAGAGCGTCGGGCGGGAGGCGGTGGTCCTGGGAGCGGCCCCGGCGCCCCGAAGCCGCCCCGAGCTGGTGGGGAGGGCCCGGCCGGTGGGGCCCCGGGGGCCTGCGGGGGAGGGGCGCCTGGGGGTGCAAGAGGCGAATTGGCTGCCCGGGGTGCAGGAGGGACAGGTGGTGCGGGCTGTCCAGGAAACCTACCTGAACGGGAAGGAGCCCCAGGAGGGAGAGGGACCCGGCGAGGGGCTCAGGACCCGGAGGCGCCGGCGGAGGAGGAGGTGGTGACTGGCAGGCCCGGGCCCCACGGTACCTCCGGGGCTGAAGGGGACGCAGGATGTAGGGGCATGGGGAGTCGGGCGCAGAAGAGTGCGGGGAACCGCTGAGCTCTGGGAGCCACTGCCTGAGGGCAGGCCGCGGCCGGCGGGAACCTCTTCTGCCGTCTCAGCCTGGGCGTCGCTGAAGCTGTGTCTGCGGGGAGGCAGCGGAAGGCGGCAGGTAAGGAAGCCCAGTCCTGTTAGCTGGAGTTGGTGTGCTTGGAAGTGAGAGGCTGCAGGTCCCTGGCGAGAGCGTAGACTCCACACTGCCCTCGTTCTTTTGGCCTTTCATCCCTGGAGGGAGGAAGCAGTGCAGTTTTCAGCGGCAAGGCAGGACCTCTCCCCCGCCAGTACTGTGTATGGTAATTGGAGTGATAGGGCATCTTCTTAGAGTCTAGGCAGCAGGCGGGACGTCTGGGTGGCTGCCAGGTCTGTGCAGAGGGAAGAGAGGGGTAGCCCCAGGGAGGAGCTGCAGGACGGTCCCCCCTCCACCTGCCCCCCGATGGCAGTAGGGGTGCCTCCATGCTATATGCTCTGCATGGTGCAGTCAACACACAAGTCCTCAAAACACGTCCCACAGAAGGGAAGAGGGCAGCGTGGGATTAACAGAACCTTATCTTGTAACCCTGTTGGTCACGTGAGCTGAGATGAGTGTGACAGCTAGTGGCTTGGGTACGGCACGAGCCTGGCCCGCTTCTGCCACGCCGTCCTGTCACAGCTGATTTACCCTGAGGGCCCAGAGCCAAGGATGATTAGTGGGCGGAAGGAGGGAGAGCAACTGGTGAGCCCTCTCGTCTCTGGGTGGGACGACCCAGCGTTAGAGGGGCGGGAGAGGAGGGTGCACTTGCACCCCAGGGCTCTGGGCTGCCTCTGTGGCCCCACCCTGGGGAGGTTTGCAGATGGGCCGCTGTGGTATCATGGGCTCTGCACCTGTCAGGACAGGAGCTCCCAGCCCAGTCTAGAGGTAGGGCTTGTAGGGGCCAAGGGTGGGGGCTGTATTTGGCTTGTTGACTCCCTCGTGGCCTGAGTGCCAGACCTACTCATTCCGCCTCGTGCCCCCAGGGGGCTTGGCGGGCTGCTTGTGGGCCTTACTCTCCTAGAGCTGTTCGCCTCTTACCTGGCACTGTCAGGTGCTTGCTTCCCCTGCCCCTGGGTGGGGATGGGTGCAGGGTTGCTGCTTGCCCAGGGCCTTAGCTAGAGGACCCTCCTCTGCCCCAGCCCGAGGTGTGGCTGTGAGTCAGATGGACCCAGACCCCTGTCCCGAACCAGACTGGGTGCTCTCCTCTGGGGGCAGAGGGAGTGGTGCTGGAGGTAGCAGCTGCTGGAGGAGCCGGTTAGCCCGCTCCTCAGACAAACTCAAACCCGCCTGTCAGCTTCATCCCATGCCTGTCGCGCTGCCACCCAAACACTCATGCACCGGAAGTTCAGCTGCTGTGCCCACGGTGCCTGACGCTTCTGGAATGGCCAGAGTGGCTCTCACTGTCTGGCTTCAGTGGAGAGAACGGTCTGTTTTAAACACATACACACAATCTTCACCTACTTATTTCAGGTCGGCGTTTTTGAACTTGTGGTAGATGAATGGGAGAAAGGCCTTGGCATCACACAGATTGCTTTTGATCTGGTTATATCGCTTACAAGCTGTGTAACTTCCTTGGGCAACATAATGTCTTTAGGTTTCAGTTTCTTGGTGTCTGCGGTGGGCCAGGACTTCCCCTGCAGTGTCGTGAGTAAAGAAACCTCAGGCCCTTTGGAGCCTGGTGCCCACCTCCCCGGAGCCCCGGCAGATGTTAGGGAGGAAGGGTCAGACTGTTCCCTCTGGCCCCTGAGCCCGGGATTAGCCCCCACCTTGTGCTTCGTCTAGAAGATGCAGTGTTTCTTTTTGTTTGTTTTAAATAACAGTTTTATTGAGATATAATGACATATGGTAAACTGAGCATATTTAAAACACACAATTTAATAAGTTGTGGCCTGTGTATATACCCGTGAAACCACCCCCACCTTCAAGATAGTGAACATCCCCCTTATTCCCCTGTCCCCAGAAGTTTTCTTGTGGAACCCCTCCATCCCCCGCTCCTCTGCCATCCCCTACCCCAGGTAACAGGCTGGTCTACTTTCTGTCACTGTGTCTGAGTTTGCAGCATTTACTGTAAACGGAATCGCGTCTTTCATTCAACAGAAGTATTTTGGAGTTTGTCCAGGTGGTTGCGCGTATCAACAGTCATTGTACACGTGTGCCAAAGTCTGTTTATCCATTGACCTGTTGATGGGTTTTCAGAGAAAGCTGCTGTGAACGTGTTTGTTAGTCTTTGTGTGGATGTACACTTTTATTTATCTTAGGTAAATCCCTAGGACCGGAATGGCTGGGTCATGTGGTAGGTACACATTTAACCTTTAAGAAACTGCCAGACTGTTTTCCAAAGTGGTTGTACATTTTATATACTCATCCACTGTGTATGAGAGTTCTGGTTTGTCCATGTCTTTGATATGTCCACATCTCGATGTGGTCAGTCTCTAATTTTAGACACTCTCATGTCTGTAGTGGTATCTCATTACAATTTTAATTTGTATTTCCTTAATGACTCATGTTGTCGGGCATCTTCTCATGTGCTCATTTGCCATACGTATGTCTTTGGTGCTGTGTCTGTTCAGATCGTTTGCCCATTTTTAATTGTGTAGGGTTTTTCGTGTTGAGTTCTGAAGAGTTCTTGATATATTCTGGATATAAGCCTTTTATCAGGTATGTGATTTACAAATCTTTTTTCCAGCTTGTGGCTTTGTATTTTGATCCTCTTAACAATGTCTTCTAAAAAATTCTCATGATCAGTAGTGCAAAATGCTGTGTTTTTGAAGAGAAGTTGTAAATTTTGATTAATTTACTAATTTGTTACTTTGTGGATTGCATTTTTGGTGTCATGTCCAAGAAATCTTTGCCTGACCCAAAGTCCCAACAGTTTTCCCCTGTATTTTCTTGTAGACATTTTATAGTTTTGGGCTTTACATTGAGATCTAGGATTCGTTTGGGGTTAATTTTTGTTACGTGGTGCAAGGTATGAATCAATGTCCAGTTTTTTGCATGTAGAGATCTAATTGATCTAGTAGCACCATTTATTAAAAAGATGTATCTCTCCACTGAATTGCCTTTGAATCTTTGTCAAAAATCAATTGCTGGCTGGGCACGGTGGCTCACTCCTCTAATCCCAGTGCTTTGGGAGGCTGAGGCGGGCGGATCATGAGGTCAGGAGTTCAAGGCCAAGCTGGTGAACGTAGTGGAACCCTGTCTCTACTAAAAATACAAAAAATTAGCCAGGCGTGGTGGCGGGCACCTGTAATCCCAGCTACTCAGGAGGCTGAGTCAGGAGAATCGCATGAACCCGGGAGGCGGAGGTTGCAGTGAGCCAAGATTGCGCCACTGCATTCCAGCCCGGGCGACAGTGTGAGACTCCATCTCAAAAAGAAAAAGAAAAAAATCAATTGTTTGTGTGTGTCTAATTCTGGATTCTGTTTTGTTCCATTGATCTATTTGTCTGTCTTTATCCCAGTATCACACTATCTTGATTACTGTGGGTTTATAAACTATAGTAAGTCTTGAAATCAGGGTAAGATCTCAAACTTGGTTTTGTCTTTTCAAAATTGCTTTAGCTATTCTGGGTTCTTTGCACTTCCATATACATTTTAGAATTAGTTAGTCAATTTCTACAAAAAAGCCTGCTGGGATTTTGATTGGGATTATGATCAATTTGGGGAGAATTGATCGGTTAGCAGTATTGAGCCTTCTGACCATGAACAGTGTATATCTCTGTATTTGTCTAGGTTTTGTTTACTATCTCTCAGCAGTGTTTTGTAGTTTTTGGTATATCAGTCTTTTCCATCTTTTATTGAACATATCCTTAAATAGTACCTATTTTTATGCTATTGTAAATGATACTGGTTTTTCCTGGTAGTATTGGTTTTTTATTTTTAAAAACTTTTAATTGTGGTAAAATATACATAATATACTGCCATTGTAACCATCTGCAGTGGTGGTAAATACATTCATACTGTTGCACAGCCGTCACCAGCATCCATCTCCAGGACTTTTCTCATCTTGTGAAACTGAAACCGCACCTATTAAACAGTAACTTCCCATTCCCTCCTCTCTCAGCCCCTGAGAACCACCATTTTACCTTCTGACTCTATGAATTTGGCTCCTGTAGGTGCCTCATAGAAGTAGAATTTTACAGTGTTTGTGCTTTTGTGCCTGGCTTATTTCACCTCGGCCTAGCGTATTCAAGGTTCATTTACATTGCAGCATATGTCAGAATTTTCTTCTTTTTAAAGGGTAAATAATATTCTATTGTATGAATATACCACTTTTTGTTTATCCATTTACTTGGATTGCTTTCACCTTTTTTTTTTTTTTTTTTAAAGACAAGGTCTCACTCACTCTGTCTCCCAGGCCGGAGAGCAGTGGTGTGATCATGGCTCACTGCAACCTCGACTTCCTGGGCTCAGGTGATCGTCCCACCTCAGCCTCCTGGGTAGCTGGGACTACAGGTGTGTACCACCATGCCTGGCTAATTTTTTTTTGGAATTTTCTGTAGAGACGGGAGTTTGGCATGTTGCCCAGGCTGGTTTCCAACTCCTGGCCTCAAGCGGCTTTCACCTTTTGGCTGTTGTCAGTAATGCTGTTATGAGATGGTACCGTTGTTTAAACTTTACTTTCCAGTTGTTTGTTGCTAGTATATGTAAATACCATTGATTTTGTATTTTGAGCTTGAATCCTGCAGTCTTGCTAAATTGACTTATTCTAGCAAGCTTTTTTGTAACTTCCTTTGGATTTTCTACATAGGGCGCCGTGTCATCTGCTAATAAAGTTTTACTTCCTCCTTTCTGATCTTTATGCCTGTTGCTTCTTTTTCTTGCCTGATTGCCCTGGCTGGATCCTCTGGTATAATGTTATTGTTTTTTTGAGATGGAGTTTCATGCTTGTCGCCCAGGCTGGAGTGCAGTGGCACAATCTTGGCACACTGCAACCTCTGCCTCCTGGGTTCAAGCGATTCTCCTGCCTCAGCCTCCTGAGCAGCTGGGATTACAGGCACCCACCACCACACCCGGCTAATTTTTGTATCCTTAGTAGAGATGGGGTTTCACTATGTTGGCCAGGCTGGTCTCAAACTCCTGACCTCAGGTGACCTGCCCGCCTCGGCCTGCCAAAGTCCTGGGATTATGGGGGTGGGCCACCAAGCCCAGCCTCATCTAATATAATGTTGAATAGAAGGGTAGATACCTTGTTTCTGATCTTCCAGGGGATGCATTTAGTCTCTCACCATTAAGAGTGGTGTTAGCTGGCCGGGCGCGGTGGCTCACGCCTGTAATCCCAATACTTTGGGAGGCCGAGATGTGCAGATCACGAGGTCAGGAGATTGAGACCATCCTGGCTAACATGGTGAAACCCCGCCTCCACTAAAAATACAAAAAATTAGCTGGGTGTGGTGGCACATGCCTGTAGTCCCAGCTACTTGGGAGGCTGAGGTGGGAGAATTGCTTGAACCTGGGAGGTGGAGGTTGCAGTAAGCCGAGATGGCGCCACTGCATTCCGACTCTGTCACAAAAGAAAAAAAAAAAGTGGTGTTAGCTGGCCGGGTGCGGTGGCTCACGCCTGTAATCCCAGTACTTTGGGAGGCCGAGGTGGGTGGATCACCTGAGGTCACGAGTTCAAGACCAGCCTGGGCAACATGGTGAAACCTTGTCTCTACCCAGAATACAAAAATTAGCCGGGTGTGATGGTATGCTCATGTAATTCCAGCTACTTGGGAGGCCGAGGCACAAGAATCGCTTGAACCCAGGAGGTGGAGGTTGCAGCGAGCCGAGATTGCGCCACTGCACTCCAGTCTGGGTGACAGAGCAAAACTGTCTCACAAGACAAAACAAAACAAAAAAAAGTGGTATTAGCTATAGGTTTTTCATATCTGACCTTTACCAGGTTGCAAAAAGCTCTCTTTTATTCCTACTTTGCTGAGAGGTGTTTTTTTTTTTTTTTATGTTTGTTTTTTTTTGTTTTTTTTTTTTGAGACGGAGTCTTGCTCTGTTGCCCAGGCTGGAGTGCAGTGGTGCAATCTCGGCTCACTGCAACTTCTGCCTCCTGGGTTCAAGCAATTGTCCTGCCTCAGCCTCCTGAGTAGCTGGGGTTACAGGCACATGCCACCACGCCTGGCTAACTTTTGTATTTTTAGTAGAGATGGGGTTTCACCATGTTGGCCAGGCTGGTCATGAACTCCTGACCTCAAGTGATTCGCCCACCTCGGCCTCCCACAGTGCTGGGATTACAGGCGTGAGCCCCCGCGCCCGGCCCTTACTGTCTCTTAAATAACTTTTCAGTAATCCCCTGTATTTTAGCATTGCCCTTCTGACACTCACCTCTTCTTCCAGAGGTTTCCGGGGCTGCCAGTTCCTGGGCTTTTGAGGATTGCAGGCGGTCAGTCAAGTGTCTCTCACGCTGGGATTTGTGATTTTCTTGGGTCAGCTCTCAACTGCCACCAGCCCATCTGCTTTCCAGCTTCCAAAGTTCTGTGGTGGTTTTTCCTCTACCATTCTCCCCCTCCCTAGGGGCCTATGGCATTCAGAACATCCTTTTTTAATTGTTGTTCTGGTGAGGTTTCAGGAAGGAGTGACACTGTGTGGAATCTACTGTTTTTTCCTGGAACCCCTGTCCCTTCTTCAGACTTCCTCACAGAATCCATGCATTCACTCAGCGTCAGTGAATGACATGGTATCCACTCAGCGAGTCCAATGTGGGTCATAAGACTTCCGCGGGGACCTCCATGGGCCCGCATCCTTGTGCCAAGCAGTACAGTCGTGAATGGGCTGAATGCTGGCTTTACCTTTTACTCTCTGGGTGCTCTTGGCCACCTCTCCAGAGCTGGTTTCCATATTTGTAAAGTGGGGATAATCTGGGGTAGTAAGGCAGGTTTTTGGTCAGCCAGTGAAGGTACACTCTCAGTGAAGAGCTGGCGCATAGTGTCTTCCTGAGGACCCAGGCTATGACTTCTGCCCCTTCATATTCTCCCAGAAACCAGCATCGGGTGGGCATGTGGGGTGCATGGTGGGTGTCTAAGGAAGGTGAGAGGGGAGGGAGGTTTTCCTGGTCCCTCTCTTCCTCCTCAGCAGCTGTACCTCCTGGGCCCCCCAGCTGGATGTAACAACATTGGACTCTTCTGTTTCCCTCTGTCCCCTGTATACTGTGTCTGCCAACATTGGACTCCTCTGTTTCTCTCTGTCCCCTGTACACTGTGTCTGCCAATGAAGCAGGGCCTCTTCTCTGGTACCCTGACCTTGGCAGGGCTCTCCCCCTACCCTGTGGCCAGAAGAGAGTCACCCTTCCGCTAACATTTGCCCTCCCCCAGATCCTGAGCCTCCATGAGCCTCCATTCCCGATGACAGCTTCCTGGTACCTTGGACCAGGCACGCCCCTTCCCCTTTGAGGGTCCCGGGCTCTTCAAGGTCAGATGGTGAGCAGGGTCCAGTGGGATTTAAGGTGTATGTCTTGAAGCACCGGACATTTCTCTGGCTCCCAGGCTCTCCTGGGCCCTGCGGCCTGCTCTAGGTGACATGTTCCCAGCTCCTGGGTCTTGGTGTAGACATGGTCCTGAGGGAATGAGCAGTGTATCTTGTAGACTGAATGTTCACTTCCCAGCTCTGGCATCTCCTCTCCACTCCTTCTTTCCACACTCCACCTCCAGGGCCAACAATAGGCCCCTTCAGCTCTGGACTCTTGCGTAGGGCTTGGGGGTGGGGTATGGCCTGAGCTGGCAGCAGGCAGGATGACGAGCCGGGCAGCCTCTGCCCAGCCCTGGAAGAGCTCTCTCTGGGAGTGGCTAGCTGCTGGGAGCTAGACCACATCCTTCCCTCTGGGCCCCCGTGCCGTGACAGTGCATGGGCAGGACAGGCAACGAGAGGCAGCTCTCTGCGGCACTCGTGTCCTGGCCTCGGCACCTGGGCATGTGTGGCGTGCATGGGAGTGAGACCCAGACAGCTGCAGCAATGTGTCCTCTGCCACCCACTGCTGCTGGTGTCTGTGTTGGGGAGCGATGGTCCAGGAGCACATTAGGGCCCTCAGTGTACTGTCTCTTTGTGTCGGCGTTGACACTCCGGTCTTCAGCTGGCGGAGCATGAAACGGTTTCACAGTACTTTCAAGACTTGATACAGATGGATGCTCTTGTCTCCACGTGTCAGCCCCACCAAGTCCAGTCAGCCTCAGGTTCAGTGTGGACTGGGTCACGCTGTTTAGTCAGATCCTCACCCCTCCTCTCTCAAGTGACATTCCCTTCTCCACTGGAGTTGGAGGGGACGAGGCATAGCAGGGCCCTGCCTGGTGTGTCTGCCTCTGCCTCTGTGCTCTGCCCTCCCACCCTGGCACCTGCCTGTTCCCCTCCTCTCTCTCGGTGAGCTGGGATCCTGACAGACCCAGGCCCCCTTCCCATCACCCTGTGTGGCAGCCCGCGCCCCAGCACCCCTTCGCAGTCCGATGAGAAGGCACCTTCCTTAAGACCAATGTCAGGCTCTCCCTCTGCCTGAGGGACTGGCTGAGTTGTTCTGGTTCTGAGATGGCTTTGGGGGACTGAGTTGCTTAGTGGGTCTGGGGTCGGAGTGGTTGTGATGACATGGACAGCCCCTCTTCCCAGAAAGGTGCTGGCGTCTCTGGATTAGAAATCATGGGGGGAGGCAAAGCCGGGGCTGGGAGAGGGCAACCAGGCTTGTTCCTGGCACCCACTGGGAAAGCAACCTGGCAGCAGCTCACGGGGGAAGAAGCAGCCACCGTTCTCCAGTGTTCCTCACAAAGACTGAGTCCTTCTCAGCAGACACACCCAGGGCCCCTGCCAGGTTCTCCCTTCAGGGCGACAGATGTGGACAGATGGTTCCCTTACGATGTACAGACCACAGCAGAGGTATACAGACCGCTCCTTCAGCACAATTATGTGCTGATACAAAGAGTTACAGGAATAGTGACCCTTTAAGGATAGGAACGTGATGGATAATTTAAACTTTTTAAAATTCTTGGCCGGGCGCAGTGGCTCACGCCTATAATCTCAGCCCTGTGGGCGGCTGAGGTGGGCGGATCATGAGGTCAGGAGATCGAGACCATCCTGGCCAACAGGGTGAAACCCCGTCTCAACTCTACTAAAAATATAAAAATTAGCTGGGCGTGGTGGCGCACACTTGTAATCTCAGCTACTTGGGAGGCTGAGGCAGGAGAATCGCTTAAACCCGGGAGGCAGAGGTTGCAGTCAGCCGAGATCGCGCCATGGCACTCCAGCCTGGCAACAGAGCAAGACTCCATCTCAAAAAAAAAAAATTATTTTGGCTATTTTTCACATGTATTATTGTGTAGTTTTACTACTCATGTTTTCAAGCATCCCTCCAACAAAACAGCAGAGATAACCATTTGTGGCTAGGAAATGGGAATTTACAGAAGAGATGGCATTTGACTTGGATCTTGAGGAGTGTGTGGGAGTTTATCATGTAGACACAGTAGAAGTGTCACAGACAAAAAATAGCTCAGACATTAAAATTATTTTTTTATTATTTATTTATTGAGACGGAGTCTCTCTGTCGCCCAGGCTGGAGTGCAGTGGTACGATCTTGGCTCACTGCAACCTCCGCCTCCCGGGTTCACGCCATTCTCCTGCCTCAGCCTCCCGAGTAGCTGGGACTGCAGGTGCCCGCCACCACGCCCGGCTAATTTTTATATTTTTTAGTAGAGATGGGGTTTCACCATATTGGCCAGGCTGGTCTCGAACTCCTGACCTCAGGTGATCCGCCTGCCTTGGCCTCCCAAAGTGCTGGGATTACAGACGTGAGCCACCGGGCCCAGCCGCAGACATTAAAATTAAAGGGCATCCGGACATGGTGGCTGGTGCTTGTCATCCCAGCTACTCAGGAGGCTGAGGTGGGAGGGTCACTTGAGCCCAGGAGTTCAAAATTAAAATGAGCCATGGTCACACCACTGCACTCCAGCCTGGGCAACAGAGCAAGACCCAGTCTCTTAAAAACAAAAAACAAGAAGAACCCCAGAGTATGTCTAGGGAAGGGCAAACACTTGGCTTGGCTGGGACATAGAGACATTTGAAGGGAATGCTAAGAGAGAGAGGTGGGGAACTAGGTGAGGAGTGCAGCCCAGAGGGCGTGCGTGCCAGCCAGGATTGGGCCCTCGAGGACTGAGGGAAGGGCCCATAGTAACAGCAGGCAGCCAGGTGCCGTGGTGGACTCTTCATGACAGTTTTATGATGGGGATTCCATTTTTCCCCTCTTTACAGATGAGGAAATTGAGGCTTAGAGGTTGTTTGCTCAAAAGTTGCCCAGCTGGAGCGTGATGGAGTCAGGATTTCAGCCCCCATCTGCCTGACTCCTGATCTCATTGTCACCGTTGGGAGGAAGTCTGAGGCGGTTGAAGCAGCCCGACCGGTGTGTCTGGTGGAGAAGGTGGAGGACGGAGGAGGAGTCTTGGTTGGGGGTCCGTGGTGGGGTGTGGTTTCTACCTCGGGTGGCTAGTGTTGGCTTGTGATGTTTTCAGCGGGATACAGGAGCGCAGAAGCAGAGTTTAAGGGGTGATGCTGAGCCCAGTTTGGATATGCAATGTGTGGTACCTGTGCAGCCTCCTGGTGGAGCTGCCCTGTAAATGTCTGGAAATGCGGGTCTGGAGCCACAGGAATTCAGGAATGGAGATAGCACAAGGTGGTAATAGGAGTCCCTGGAGGCATAGGTGACCCCAGGGAGCACAGCATCAGTGGAGAATAGAAGGAAACATGAGTTCAAAAGTCTTAGGAAATACCAACAGTTAAGAAGCTGGGGGCGGGGGGTGGGGGGGGGGTGGGGGGGTGAGGGGGTGGGCAGGCGCAGTGGCTCATGCCTGTAATCCCAGCACTTTGAGAGAGCAAGGCTGGTAGAATGCTTGAGCCCAGGAGTTTGAGACCAACCTGGGCAACATGACGAAACCTCATCTCTACAAAAAATACAAAAATTAGCTGGGTGTGATAGTGCACGCCTGTAATCCCAGCTACTCAGGAGATGGAGGCAGGAGGATTGCTTGAGCCTGCGAGGCAGAGGTTGCAGTGAGCCAAGATCGCACCACTGCACTCCAGTCTAGGGCACAGTGAGATCCTATCTCAAACAAACAAACAAAAAACATGTGGGGTGAAGAGGCTTCAGGGCTGGACCATGGGCCTAGCACTGCCAGCAGACACAGCCTTGCCTGCCCTCAGGACCTCAGCTGCCAGGCCCCCCTGGGAGGGAGTGGGCCCCCGTGTCCTGGAGATGGAGAGACTATGGACAGTCATGGCGTGTGTCTGAATCACTCCCTTTTCTTTCTTGGGCCCTGGCCAGCCTCCTCCCCAGACCAGTGTGATGTCAGGCCCAGCCGACCTGAAGGTGCAGGGTTGCCTGGTGCAGGTTCCTCTGGGATGAGGTTCTGAGGGCACCCAGCCTGGCCTTGCTCCAGAAGCCTGGGCTCTGCGCACAGAGGGGTGAGTTAAGGCTGACTAAACTTGGTGGGGCTGACATGTGGAAGCAAGATAATCCTCTGGCTGGGGGAGGAGCTGTAAGCCCCCCTCTCCTCATCAGTATGTTCTTTTTTCCTTCAGGGCTTGGAGAAGAGGTAGGTGGAGGTGGGAGAGGGCGGGCTGGGAGGTAGGGTTGGCATATATTCCTGAGAATACGGTAGATTGTTTTGGAAAAATCCTCTTGGCCGGAAATTGCCTGTCATGTCTGCGCCTTGGTGTGGATTTGTCACTTCGCATGCAGTTGGAGAGGCTGGAGAGGGGAATGGACAGCAGAGCTGGGCTGGTTTCCAGCCTCTTGTTTCCTTTAGCTCTGCAGAGTGGAGATATAAAGAGACAAGTGAAGAGCAGAGGGGGTGTACACGTGGGGTGGATTCTCGAACTCCTAGAGGTAGTTTAGATCCTGTGGATGTCTTACGATAGGATGGTACTAGGACGCCAGAGATTTACAGGGGGAGGTGAGGCAGGGAGAAAGCAGGAAAGGGCACTGGTTTGGATCAGATCCTTTATCCAGCCAGGGCAAGAAGGGAGGGGCCTGGTATTTTCTGCCTTGCCTTCTACAGTCTCCCGGCTTTGCAGCTACTCCCAAGACTAGTATGTGCCTTTAGCTGCAGTAAGATGCCGAGGAGCTTCTGTACAGCATAGAAGCAGGCGTTCGGGGGCCTCGCCGGCAGTCATCCACCTACCCTGGTGTGCTTGGGGTGTGGAAGGGGCTGTGTGAGGAGAGTGGGCCGTAGAGGGAGCCTCACCTAGTGACCTTCCAGGGTCTGGCTCAGCCTTGACGCTGCGTGGGGAGGAGAGGTCACAGCATCTGTCTCTCCTCTGCCCCAACCCAGGGAAGGTGCCCTGAGCTCAGCCCTAAATACCTGGTACTAAAGAGTCAGTGGCTGCTTCAGATGCCACCAGAATGAGAAGCGGTGCCTTGGGGCCCCGGGGGAGAGGAAGAGCCTCTGCCCTGGGACTTCCTGTGCCGGCGATGGCCTCGCGCCAGTGCTGGGCGCGGCACCCCCGCGTGGGCCTGTGTTGGGCGGCTTTTGAGCAGGAGTCCGGGCCCTCGTGTCACCGCTCTGAAGTCAAGGAGGTCAGTGCGTGCCCAGCGCACAGCGCGTGCGGCGTTGCGGGAGTGGCGCGCGGGGAACCGGCCGCGGGGGCCTCGGGGCGGGGGCGTGGCCTGCGCGGGAGGCGGGCGCTGGGAGGCGGCGCGGAGCCGGCTGAGCGCAGGGCCGAGCTGCGGGGCAGGTGGGCGCCCGGCGTTCTGGGAGCAGAGTGGCCGCCGGGGCAGGCTGGGGGCGGGGTGGGCTGCAGCCCCGGGATGCCTCGGAGGAGGGGGTCTCAGATGGAGTCGGACGGAGGCCCCTCTGCTGTGGGCTTCTCGGATGGCCCCTTACCGTGAATACGGGGGACTCGTGAATCCCCAAGGCCCCAGTTGGTGGCTCTGGGGCCCTGGAGGCGGGCTGAGGGCTGAGTGGAGCCCGGTTCCGCGGCCGGCGAAGGCAGAGCCCCGGCTCTCGGTGGGGGTCAGCCCGGGGCTGGCACAGCTGGCTCACTGGGAGAGGGTGGGAGCCGCGCCCCGGAGAGGAGGAACGGAGCTGGGACGGGCTGCAGGAGGGAATGGCCGCAGGCCGGCAGGAGGAGGGGCGCGACCACCCGGCCGCCGGCCGATGGCGGATGAGGCTATGGGGGCTGAGACGCAGTAGCGGCCCTGCACTTCTGGAGGATGCTCGAGGCCCGGCCCCCCAGGACGCAGGGCAGTGACGCTGCCGGTGCCGCTGCGGGGCGGGGGCTGCGGGCGCTGCTTCTCTCCCTGACCGCAGCCGCTGGGATTTGGGGCTCCATGGGGGAGAGATCTGCTTACCAGCGCCTGGCTGGGGGCGAGGAGGGACCGCAGGTAATGGGGAAGGCTAGGGGATAGCCAGATACCTGGGCCCCAGACCCCTTCGTCTGCTGTGAGCCGGGCTCAGCCCTGCCCCCTGCGGCGGCCTCAGGAGTGAGAGTGTCTGCTCCTGGGCCAGGGGACAGAGAGCGGTGTGTTTATGTGGGTGTGGCGGTGGTGACTTAGTGATGCTGGCATCTGCCTGTGTGTGCATGGATCCCCTGGGACCCCAAAAAGCTGCCCGTTGGGCTTTCTTCCATGCCCCAAGGGAGTCCAGGAAGTACTGCTAGGATTGGGGTTCAGTCTTTTAGGAGAACTGAGTCTGTATGTCCTGGGCATTCCCGTTTACTAGGCTTCTGAATATGAATATCAAGCCAGATGTCCTTGTTTGCTTTTGAAAATATGGTCACGGTGTTGATGGATGGGGTAGCTTCCCTTCCCCTTGGAGAGAACGCACTTCCTCTCCCGACCGGCAGAGGGCAGTAGCTGACAGGAGAAAGGGGGACTCGGTAGGAGCGTTGGGGCTTAAGGTCGGGCTGTTTTCCTGGGCGAGGAGAAAGGGGGCCGGGCCGGGCCGGGCGCGGTGGCTCACGCCTGTCATCTCAGCACTTTGGGAGGCCGAGGCGGGCAGATCACCTGAGACGAGGACGCTGAGGTCAGGAATTCGGGACCAGCCTGGCCAACATGGCGGAAAAAAAAAAAATAGCTGGGCACGGTGGCGGGGGCCTGTAATCCCAGCTACTCGGGAGGCTGAGGCAGGAGAATCACTTGAACCCGGGATCGCGCCACTGCACTCAAGCCTGGGCGATAGAGCAAGACTCTCAAAAAAAAAAAGGGGGTGGGGGTTCCAGGAGCCGGCCTGGCGCTGACCCACACATACTTTGCTTCTTCCCGCAGCTGGATTACTGGGCCAGTTACAGGTCTTGTTCTTACTGGACATCCAAGGTCAGGCATGGGGTTCTGGTGACTTTGAGACACATATTTCTGGGGACGCTAGAGTTTTTAATCTGGCCATTCTGATCCAGCAGACCCATTTTGAAATAGAGGGAATAACCCTGCTTAAATTGTTCCCCGGCCCCCGGTCCCTGGGTCTCCTTCCAGGTGTGCTTGGTGCCAGGGTAAGGCTGTAGGCTTCTCTGATGCAAGGGCACAGTCAGCCAAGGTTTGGGGAAAAGTCAGCTCCAGTGTAACGCAGGCCTGATCTTGTCCACCTGACCTCAGCCCCCACTCCATCCACACCTGCCATCTCCACAAGCTTTGTGGGCTGGATGGCAGGGGGATGAGGAAGAGGGACTGAAGTTGGGGGTGTCCTTCTCCCCACCTCCTGGAGTTAGACCAGGAAATGGCTGTCCCTTTTGGCATCATCAGGGAGGTCAAGTGCTGGGAGAGGCCCTGGGAAGGGAGCCTGGGATGCTGAGTCCCCAAAGCCCTGCTCCCCAGCTGCCCACCCCTCCAGCCAGCTGAGGCTCCCTGAGCTGGTGGCCAGCTGGACAGGGACAAGAGAGCAGTGTGCAAGAAACAGGGGCTCCCTAGGCATGGCTCAGCAGGGAGGGGGGTGCCTGGGGAGCTGGAGAGGGCTTCCTGCAGCTGTCAGGTGTGTCTGGGGGCCGTAGCGAGGGGGGTGTAAGAGCAGCTGGCACCCTTTGAGGAGGGCCAGAGAGATCATTTGTCAGTTCTAGAAACATGAGGGCCCCACGGGGGCTTGATGGAGTGTCTCTAGGCCCCTTAATCTGAGGCCGTGGTCTGTGTCAGGGGTTATACAGGAGACATCCTACAGCTTTGGGGTGGGGGCGTCCCAGCAGGAGTCTCAGGGCATATTTGTTTGTTTTGAGCGGGTTTGGGAACTTGGCCACCTGGTCTGAGTAGGAGGCACCCTGGGTGTTTGGGCAGCAGACAGGGCCACCCCAGGGGAGGGGGTGAGGATCCTCACCCCACCCTACCCTTGCTCTTGGCTGGACTGCCCCACTCTGGCAGGCTGCCGGCCGCCTATTTCCGTCGGGCACCAGGGTAACAGGGCCACATCAGGGTCTGAGCCAGGAGACACCCAGCCAAGGCTGGGACTCGGGGGTGGGGGAGGGTCTCTGAGGAGTCATCGCAGGGCCCAGCGGAGCCTCTGGGGTCCAAGCCTCCCACTCAGGCTGTGTGTTAGTCCCCACGTCCCCACACAGGTCCATGAGGGAGTCCACAGCCCTGCTTCATACGTGCTGTTTGAGTCACATAGCCGCCACCCTAAAGTCCCAGGAGTTGTCTGCAACTGTGAGGGCTGGGGTAGAAGCCAGAGACAGGAGCTTTGTGTATGGGGAGGCAGGGGGGCCAGCGCGGGTGGCTGGGAGGAAGAGTCCCCCCCATTCCTGCCGCCCTCTTGGCAGTGATTCAGAAAGGTCCTTTTTCAGCCAGTGTCAGAGCTGCTCAGCTGGGGAGGGAGGGAGAGAGGGAGAGAGAGAGGCAGGCAAGAGGGAGGGCGGCCGGGCGGGCAGTTGGGTGGGGAAGCCGGGGAGTAGGGCTGGACTGTGACCACTGCCCTGGAGAGAAGACAGAAACAGGACAGAGGATCCCGGCTGCAGCCAGCGTGAGGAAAGCTCTGCTCCCTGCCAGACCGGCCAGCTGTGGAAACCCAGCGGGGCTTGCAGCAGAGCGGAGGGGCCCACCCCGTTCTTCCTCATTTCCCACCCCTGGTGTGGGATTTGGGGGGCTCCTGGGCAGAGTGCGAAGCTCCGGAGCCGAGGCCACTGGATCCCCAGTGACTGCTCGGGGGGGTCCCGCTGCGTGGAGATGCCGGCAGCACGTCGGTTCCCTGGCCTGGAGCTCTCCTTCCCTCTCCTGGCCAGACTGCGGCGACGCCTGTACACAGTGAGTGGGGGGCAGGGGCTGGACTGCTGGGGACTGGTTGGGCTCCTCAGCACCAGCACTTGACTGAGAGGCAGAAAGCAAGACTGGGAGCGGCTGAGGGACCCCGCCAGTGAGGGCTTGACGGGGAGTCCGGGCCAAGTGGCCTCTCCTGCGGCTGCTGCATTCCTTCTTCTTGGCCTGTGTGTTTGCACGCCGGCCACAGAGTAGTGACGGACACAGGTGTGCAGACTCCATGAGGTGCGGGGGCCAGGACCATGCAGAATTGGAGAGTGTTTGAACTCTGGAGGAGCTGCAGCCATGCCCTGTGCTGCACAAAGAACCTTGGGCTGGAGGGGGACTTAGAGGGGAGGCGGACCCCTGCGGAGTCACCCTGGACTGAGACCCTGACCGCTTGCCTCACCAGCATCCCGGAGTTCCTTCCCGTCCTCCCACATGCATCCCCTGTGCAGAGCTGCGCTGTTGCTGGGTCAGGGAGCATGGAGTGCACAGCTGAACAGAGGTGCATTAGCTGGTGTTTCAGGGAGAGGGAACAGGCCGGGCTGTGCTTTCTGAAGAGCTTCAGGGGAGGGGCCTCTGGGTCTCCCCCAGCCCTGACCACCCCGGGCATGGCTTTGAGCTGTTTTCAGGAGCCTAGAGGAGGGGGCCTGGATCCTTGGGAGTTGGTGGTGGGAAAAAGAAGAGGAGCCCTGGAGACTGCTCTCCCTGCGGGAGACTAGGAGCCTCCATCCTGAGGCTGAGCCCTGGAGGGGGGGGGTCACTTTGCTCCAGGGACAGGGCAGCGGTGGCCGTGGCCGGGTGGAGAGGAGACGCTGCCTAGGCCCGTGACTCCTAGTGTGCCTCTGGGCTTGCTTCCGGAAAGCCACGACGCCTGGTCCTCTTAAACCCCACGCCTCTTGTTTTGTAAACAGATGATTTTGTTGAGGATAAATGAATACAGCTTAATACTTAGAACTGTTCCTCGCATATAGTAAGTGCAGTTGAAGTGTTAGATTTTATTTTATTTTGAGATGGAGTTTTGCTCTTGTTGCCCAGGCTGGAGTGCAATGGCACGATCTTGGCTCACCACAGCCTCCGCCTCCCGGGTTCAAGTGATTCTCCTGCCTCAGCCTCCTGAGTAGCTGAGATTACAGGCATGTGCCACCAGGCCCGGCTAATTTTCTATTTTCAGTAGAGATGGGGTTTCTCCATGTTGGTCAGGCTGGTCTCGAACTCAGGTGATCCGCCCACCTCAGCCTAAGTGCTGGGATTACAGCTGTGAGCCACTGTGCTTGGCCTAGATGTTATTTTTATTGTTACTTGTCTTAAATAAAGTTAATAGAAATATATAACCTGTTATATTAACATGTTAACCTGTGTACAGTGAAACAAGCAACACAGTGGGAACTCTAATATAAAGAGACATAAGAGGAAGGTAATAATATTTTATGTATCCTAATACGTTAGTAACCTAGACAATGTAGTGAGGAGTCAGATCTTGAGACCTCAGGTGGAAACACCGTGAAGGCAGCATCTGCAAGTGCTGACCGAGAGGGGAGTTTTGAAATAATGAGAGGGGGTTGCCTTCACTGACATTTTTGCAAATAGTGGACTTCTGCTATGTTCTGAATAAAGCAAAGTCCATTTTCCCTTAAGTTTACACAGTAGTTTCATTCCAGGAAAATTTATTTTATATTAAAACTGTAAGGCCAGGAGCAGTGGCTCCCCAGCACTTTGGGAGGCCAGGGCAGGTGGATCACTTGAGCTCAGGAGTTCGAGACCAGCCTGGCCAACATGGAGGAACCCTGTCTCCACTAAAAATACAAAAATTAGCCGGGCGCCTGTGATCCCAGCTTCTTGGGAGGCTGAGGCGGGAGAATTGCCTGAACCCGGGAGGCTGAGTTTGCAATGAGCCAAGATCATACCATTGTACTCCAGCCTGGGAGTCTCACTCTGTCTCAAAAAAAAAAAAAAAAAAAACCAAAAAACTATAAAAGTACTTTCTTATTTATATATAAAGTGGGATCATATTCTAGGTTTGCATGATCATAAACACCTTCATGAATTGAGTTGTGTGGGATTTGGGACAGTGCGAGAATGTCCTACGCATTGCAGGCTAGCTCACGCTCTTGTCCCCCAACCACCCACTGAATGTCACTAAGGCCCCCCCAAATGTTGTGGCAACCAGAACTGTCCCATAGGGGGCTGTGCAGCCTCATGAGAACCATTCCAGTAAAGGGTTACAGCTTTAAGTTTGGAAACCACCCGGCTGGCCCAGCTGCCTGGCCCGGTCGCCGAGGTGGAAGAGCCAGGATTTGAACTGAGAGTTTCTCATTCCCCTTTGTTACTCTTTGTACTTCCCTGAGCTGCCTGAAAAAGTCGGAACTGGCACTGTGTTGGCAGGGCCACTGGGAACTGTGGGGGCAGGAGGCTCACGCTGGGCCCAGGCTGTGTGTGCCTGCTTCTCAGTGCTGCTCACTGTGATGGGAGCTGGGGAGGAGGCCACCGCTGAGTGGGGGAGGGGGATGGCTTGGTCCCCAGCCGGGCAGCTGGCCTTTTTTCTCTCGCCTGTTCCTCTTTGGGGATTGAGCATGGGTCCGGGGCTAGCCTGGCCACGCCCTCAGCTCTGACACACCTTACGCAGACAGGGATGGGTTTGCTGTGCGGTGGGTCCGCTTGCTTAGCTTTGAAGGTGCCACCAGCTTCTTTATCTGGGCCCAGGATAGTGTAGGTCAGAGGTCACTCTCCGGTACCACTGGCTGATTGCGGCCTGCAGTGTGCTTTGGCCAGCACGCTGTGTGTGCGTGTGCATGCTTTTCAGATCTGAACTATTCAGCATTGTTAAAAAGTCAGGAGAAAGACGAATATTAAGTGAAATCAGGGAACAGAATGGTATGGTTAATGCGTGAATATTCGTGTAGGGACAACAGAGTCTGAAGCGTCCGCAGAAGACATCACTGGCAACTCCTGGGGAGCCGGGTGGCTGTGCAGCTGGGGAGGGAATGAGATTCGTGGCTCAGTGTGCCTTCTGAATATTTTACCACGTGCATATATTACCTTTTCCAAACTTTAATGGTGAGATTTCACATGTAAATTGGGATTTATTTCTTGAAAAAATGGAAAGCTTTGACAACACTGGGCCACAGTTTCTTCTGACAACCATTGATGGGATCTGAGCTCCCTGTTGACAGGGGTGTCTGCGAGCCCACCGCAGGCCCCACCCCTCCCTCCTGTCTTCCGCTTGCTGTGGCCCTGTAGGCACTTGAGTGGTGGCCCGTGGAGTGGTCTTTGGATTGTTAGGAGAGGCTGGGGTGGTCAGGCGCTGGGAGGAACTTAGCTTAGAGCTCATCTGACCCTGAGAGTTTTCTCCGTCACATCTAAGGAGCCCATAGATGGGTCTCGGGGCACATTGCACCCTAGAGATTTTTATCAAATATTAGGAGTAAGAACACGTCGGTGTTCCCGGAGAGACCACTGTTAGTTTTTAAAAGATTTTCAAGGACTTTCGACCCCTAGAAACTTAGAGCAGGAATGTGAGCACAGGTTGATCTTGGGTCACTCAGTCACAGATCACATTTCGGGAGCAAGACCCTGACTCCTGACTCCAGGGCCAGGGCTGTATCTCCGCCGCCCTAATTGTGCCCTGTGGCTGGCAGGAATAGGGGACGTGGGTCCAGGCGGTTCTCGGTAGCTTCCCTCGGGAGTCAGAAGGTGGTGTGAGCCCTTCCGGGTGGCCGTGTAGTGGGATGAAGGTGAGCCCAGGTCACTCGGGCAGGCCCCTGTTGTCCCCCCACAACCCTTGTCCCTGAGCCACTCCTCCCCCCACAGAGGCTGGGAGGCGGCAGAATGCAGCCAGAGGAGGGCACAGGCTGGCTGCTGGAGCTGCTGTCCGAGGTGCAGCTGCAACAGTACTTCCTGCGGCTCCGAGATGACCTCAACGTCACCCGCCTGTCCCACTTTGAGTACGTCAAGAATGAGGACCTGGAGAAGATCGGCATGGGTCGGCCTGGTAGGTGGGATGTTGGCCTGGCTTGTCTTGCCCCTGACCCTTTCCGTCCTCTGTCCTCAGGACCACTCGGTGCACGGGTGGCAGCTGAGAACTCTGTCCCAGAGCCCTGAGGGAGCAGGAGGGACATCAGTAGGTGCTGATGTGTGATGAGAACAGTTGGCAGTTATAAAGGTGAATTGGAGTTTGAGGAGAGTGAGGCCTTCCCTAAAGCTGGCTACACAGGAGTCACTCCATGCCCCGTTGTGATTGTTCTCACGTAGAGTGTATGTCCTCCATTGCCCCTCCTTCATAAGCATCGAATTGAGTCTGTTCTCATCATTCTGACTACCGGGGGGTCCATGTGCAGAGATCTGTAGGGAGAACGCTAACTCTCAGATGGTTTGCTGATTCGTGCTCACGCTCTCTTTCTTGCTCTCTCACACGCACACACGCATGCACACGCACAGGCATACACACACACACACACACACGCAGGCACACACGCACATGCGCACACACGTGCACGCACGCATGCACGTGCACACACGCATGCACGTGCGTACGCACGCGCTCACACGCCTGCGCACACAGACACGCACACACACACACACGTGTGTGCGCACACCCGCATGCACACGCACGGCATACACACATGTACACACACGCGCGCAGACGCACACACGTGCGCACACGCGTGTGCACACACACGCACATACACACAGGTTTGCTCTGATTTGAGTTCAACCCTTATCTTCATATTTTTCCTAAAAGTGGGGGTTGTAGCATCTAAAAGTCATGATGTTCTTCATAGAACATTAGAAACGTATTAGGGCTTTCAAGTTAAAATAGCTAAATAGGTAATAATGTGTCAAGTTAGACACTGACTTAGTTAAAATAGCTAAATAGGTAATAATGTGTCAAGTTAGACACTGACTTAGTTAAAATAGCTAAATAGGTAATAACGTGTCAAGTTAGACACTGACTTAGTTAAAATAGCTAAATAGGTAGTAATGTGCTAAGTTAGACATTGATTTATGCTACTTTAGGCCTGGATAGTTGGTGTCTGATGCCAGTAGCATAAAAAAATTTTACGGAGGGAAAAAAACCTCAACATTGAGAAAATTCTGTTCATTACCTTGATTTTTCCTGAGAACTGGGAGAAGCCCATCGCTTCAAGTTTTTGGTTAAACACCTTCACCCAGTTTGAGAGCCAGTGCCAGGAAGTGGAGTGCAGAGACCGTCGGTCAGTTGAGGCTCCGGGTTAGTTGGGGTTGATTTCATTGCTATCATCGGGTGGGCGGTGTCTAGTGACAGGCTCACCCCCAAGGGGACCACAGGCAGCAGCCTCTCTCGGGCTACGGCGGCCTTCACAGCACGCGGTTCCCCGCTCTCCCTGCAGGCCAGCGGCGGCTGTGGGAGGCTGTGAAGAGGAGGAAGGCCTTGTGCAAACGCAAGTCGTGGATGAGTAAGGTGGGTGAGGAGGTGGGTGAGGAGGTGGGAGGGGGGCAGCCTCGAACGCCCCCCTCCGCTTCTGGTCCTGGGAACCTTCCCCAGCTCCCCGGCAGGTCGAATCTCGCCGTTCTGCCGGCACTTTGTACAGGACCCCCTCGTCCAGGGTCTTATCGGGCAGGGCACTTGTAGAGCTGCTGGGCTAAGTGTCTGTCTCCGCCAGATACGGACACGTGAGCAGCCTGTGTGCGGTGAGGCCTTCACAGCCCCTCTCGGCACGCCTGGAACAGGACCTCATTGACAAGTGTGCCTTAACTTAGCCCTGCTGTGTCTGAGCGTTGGGGCCAGTGTCCAGCGTGGGGTGGTGGACCTGTCTGGACCCAGAACGTCTTTGCTTGGCTTCCCTCCTCCCTGACCCTCTCTAATCTCTGGGTTTCTCTGGTCATCTGTCCCTGCTGACAGCTTCCTTCCCCACAGCCTGTCCCCACCTCTCCCCACACCTTGTCCTAATTTGGGTCTGTGGTGTAGTGAGTCCCTGGTCTGACTCAGTGGAACTTTGCCCATTGTCTGGAAGACAATGAGAGAGGAAGTGAGCCAGCCGTGGTCTTTCCTCCCCACTTCTGGCTTCAGGGCTGGGTTGGGGGGTGGGCAGGGCCGAACAGCTGCAGTGGGATTGGGCAGCAGAGATTTTCCTGGCTGCAATCCGGCAAAGGGGCTGTCTCTTGGGATCCTTTGGCTTTTCCTGGAAACACTGTCCTGGTCCTTTGCCCGGGTTTTAGGGAAGGATGAGTAGTGTCGGGATGGTGGAGGCAGGAGAAGAGAGCAGCGTGGTTTGCTGAGATTTAGGGGTCTTGGATCTGCCACTGGCTCCTGATAGGTCCCTGGGCGGTCAGTGGCCTCCAGATTTTTGTTGTGTCTTCAGTGAAATGATACCGGTCCCCACTGCCCAGCTCACCTCCCGGGGCTGCAGGAGGCACCGGAGATAATGGCTGTAGAGGGTCTTGTAACCTGAACATTGCTTGCAAACATAAGGAATTCTAGTTACTGGGAGGAAGCACAGGGCAGAGGCCAGAAGAGGCCCTCAGATTTGAGGCACCCTAGCCCAGACGGATAAGGATCCACCAGCTCTGGGGGCGTGAGACCCAAGCTGGCAAGAATCTGCAATCTGGAGCCAAGGCTGTGGGTGCCTCAGTGGAGGCCGAGTCAGACCGACGTGGCCAGCTTTGACCCTCATGGCCTCCTTTCTTCTGTCCCTTGACCTTCGGCTCCTCCCTGTCCACCCTGGCCTCCGAGTCTCCTCCACTTTTCCTTCCGTCTCAGCCCTCAGCTCTAGGCGCCCCTCCAGAGACCCAGCTGTCTTCCCAGGCCCCTTCCCAGCAAGGACTAGCTTCATCTGAACCACACACACACTCACGGTTCAACCTCAGACTAAAATTATCCTCTCCCCTGGGCAGGATGAAGGGCAGCCGACTCCCTGGTGAGGGTGGAGACAGACAGCACCAAATGGTCAGGCCAGAGAAGGGGCCAGGGCTAAAAATGGACAAGGAGGTGTCTGTGGAGGGCCCCTGCGGCTCCATCGATGCGGGTTAGGGCTGGAGTCTGCGGGGTGGCGGGTGCAGGAAGGGAGGGTGGGGCAGGACTGGGAGGAGACTCCGACCTTGGCTGGGCGGTGCCCTCCCTCTCCACACAGCTGGGTGTGGGGCCGCTCAGCCACAGGCTGCATGCCTGTCGGTCTCTTTCTGGCACCCTCCTTGAGGCCAGCATCAGGCTTTGGGTTCATGTTTGGGGGTGTGCCCTGGACGGAGTGTGGGCCTCCAGCCAGGCTGCCCCACTGACAGTTTGGCAAAACCAGGACCTATCTGGAAGCCGAAGCCGGGGATCACCAGGTGGACCCAGCGGGGTGGGACTGAGTGACTGACCCTGGGGTGTTGGATTCCATCTGGCCCCCGGCTGCCTTCAAACAGGTGTTCAGTGGAAAGCGACTGGAGGCTGAGTTCCCACCTCATCACTCTCAGAGCACCTTCCGGAAGACCTCGCCCGCCCCTGGGGGCCCAGCAGGGGAGGGGCCCCTGCAGAGCCTCACCTGCCTCATTGGGGAGAAGGACCTGCGCCTCCTGGAGAAGCTGGGTGATGGTTCCTTTGGCGTGGTGCGCAGGGGCGAGTGGGACGCGCCCTCAGGGAAGACGGTGAGCTCTCTGTGTCCTGCCAGCGCAGCAGAGGCATGGGACCCGGGGCTGGTAGTGGCTCTTCTGCCCCCAACCAGGGTGTGGATGGGACTGGGGATGCGTCACAGTGTGGCTCATCCCAGAGTCCGTGCTCAGGATTTTTGGGGTTTTATTTATTTATTTATTTTTGAGATGGAGTCTCGCTCTGTCGCCCAGGCTGGAGTGCAGTAGGCACGATCTCGGCTTCCTGCAACCTCCACTTTCCGGGTTCAAGCAATCCTCCTGCCTCAGCCTCCTGAGTAGCTGGGATTACAGGCATGCACCACCACACTCAGTTAATTTTTGTATTTTTAGTAGAGACGGGGTTTCACCATGTTGGCCAGGCTGGTCTCGAACTCCTGACCTCAGATGATCTGCCCACTTTAGCCTCCCAAAGTGCTTGGATTACAGGTGTGAGCCACCACGTCCAGCCCATGCTCAGGTTTAACTAAGCACATTTATTATTTCAACTATAAAAATAATTTATTATAAAAGTTTGGAAAGTATTTGAAAAACAAGAAAAAAAAAATCGCCTGTAATCCCACCACTCAGAGGAAGCCGAGCCTCTTCCTCCCACTTTAGGTATTTTGTTGGATTTAGTTAAGATACAAATTCTGGATACAGCTTTTAAAATCTTGTTCTTTCTTCTCGGCGTTGCATTTAACATTTTCCCCTCAGGGATAACGTGTCACCACAGCATACAGTTCTGGTGTGACTGTTTCCTGTGCAGCAGCCGTGTCCTTACTGCTCAGATCACGTGCGGTGCATTCCCAGCACCTCAGAGGGCTCCTCATTCTCCGTCCACTCAGTGCGTCCTTCTCCCGGGGAAGCCGCTGTCACTCAGTGCATCCTTCTCCCGGGGAAGCCGCTGTGCAGACTTCCAGCTCCACAGCTTTGTTTTTGGCATTACATTTACAGCATTTTCCTTCTACAGCAAAACACCTTTTAATATTCCATTTTATGACCAGCCTGAGCAATATGGAGAAACCCCATCTCTACTAAAAATACAAAATTAGCCAGGCGTGGTGGCACCTGCCTGTAATCCCAGCTACTCAGGAGGCTGAGGCAGGAGAATCACTTGAACCCGGGAGGCAGAGGTTGCAGTGAGCTGAGATCACGTCACTGCATTCCAGCCTGGGCGACAAGAGCGAGACTGTCTCAAAAAAAAAAATTCCATTTTATAACATTTGAATATTCTCTCATCATACTGGTTATCTCTTACTTTTTGGTTGGTATTTAAGCCCGGCATTCCCCCAGGAAGGGGAGGTGTGGCCGACGATGGCTCCTGAGGGCCAGCCGTCTGCCCTTCTCCAGCCAGGCCTCACGCAGAGCACGTAAGCCCAGGCACTGGTGACATGCTTACCCACCCAGATGAGGAGCTCACAGGCAGGGATCGTTGAGCCGAGTTGGAGGGTGGAGCAGGTTGGCTCCGCGTGTCTGGGACCTGGCAAGTCCTGAGTCCTTGCAAATCCCGCTCTGGGCAGGTGAGTGTGGCTGTGAAGTGCCTGAAGCCCGATGTCCTGAGCCAGCCAGAAGCCATGGACGACTTCATCCGGGAGGTCAATGCCATGCACTCGCTCGACCACCGAAACCTCATCCGCCTCTACGGGGTGGTGCTCACGCCGCCCATGAAGATGGTGAGTACTGCGGGCGGGAGGGGGCGGGCAGGGAGAGGGCTCCGGTCCCATATGTGTGGTTCGGTTCCTCTCTCCATCCTAAGGTCAGAGGCGCCCTAGATCCTACTTTGGTCCCCCAACCTGATGGAGTAAAGGGGTCCACAGGGGCCCAGCCTGGTACGGGCTGTGTCTGCTGCGGTCCAGTCCGGGTCTGTCTCTGGATTTTGCTGGTGCTCAGTGTCAAGAGAGTTACTCCCATGGGAGGGGCTGGCCACTGAGTTTAATTTGGGGAATTTATGTTTTATTTATCTATTTATTTTGAGATGGAGTCTCACTTTGTCGCCCAGGCTGGAGTGCAATGGCATGATCTAGGCTCACTGCAACCTCGGCCTCCTGGGTTCACGCGATATTCCTGCCTCAGGCTTCCAAGTAGCTGGGATTACAGCCGTGCGCTACCATGCCTGGCTAATTTTTGTATTTTTAGTAGAGACGGGGTTTCACCATGTTGGCCAGGCTGGTCTCAAACTCCTGACCTCAAATGATCCACCCACCTCGGCCTCCCAAAGTGCTGGGATTACAGGCGTGAGCCACCACGTCCAGCTGAGTTTTGGAATTTCTAGCCACTGCCTCTTTGGGCTCCTTCTCTCTAGGCATCAGTTTCCCAAATTGCCTCGAGGGAGAGGCCTGAGAAACTGCAGGACTCCTAGAGGTCCCCAGACAGCAGGCCAGGAAGGTGCGTGCAGCCTGGCTCTGGAAAGCCTTCAGGAAGGGGACTGGGGGCCCAGCGTGGGCTGCTGAGAAGGGGCAGGGTCCTCCAGCTCATTCCTCCTGCCTCCTCCGTGGCCTCAGGTGACAGAGCTGGCACCTCTGGGATCGTTGTTGGACCGGCTACGTAAGCACCAGGGCCACTTCCTCCTGGGGACTCTGAGCCGCTACGCTGTGCAGGTGGCTGAGGGCATGGGCTACCTGGAGTCCAAGCGCTTTATTCACCGTGACCTGGCTGCCCGCAATCTGCTGTTGGCTACCCGCGACCTGGTCAAGATCGGGGACTTTGGGCTGATGCGAGCACTACCTCAGAATGACGACCATTACGTCATGCAGGAACATCGCAAGGTGCCCTTCGCCTGGTGAGGGGCAGGTGCTGCCAGCTCACAGAGTCCCTGCAGACCCAGGCCTCAAAGCTTCTGGGGCTTTCTGGACCCACCACAGCCCCTGGTTTTGCTTGGGCCTGCCCTTGTCTGTTCTAAGCCTGGGGTGCCCTCCTTTGCACCCATTCGCTCACCATCCATCTAGGAATTCTTGAGGGCCCACGTGCCAGGGTCTGGGTGCTGGAAATCACAGGGATACATGCTGTGGGACTCTCCAAGGGGCTTTGCTGGGTGGGGTGATACGGGGATAGATGCTGTGTCCTCTCCAAGGGGCATTGTTGGGGGTCGTGTTTCAGGGATAGATCCTGTGTCCTCTCCAAGGGGCATTGCTGGCGGGGGGGTGTTATAGGGATAAATGCTGTGTCCTCTCCAAAGGGCGTTGCTGGGGGGGGGGTGTTACAAGGATAGATGCTGTGTCCTCTTCAAGGGGCATCGCTGGGGGGGTGTTACAGGGATAGATGCTGTGTCCTCTTCAAGGGGCATTGCTGGGGGGGGTGTTACAGGGATAGATGCCGTGTCCTCTCCAAGGGGCGTTGCTGGGGGGGGTGTTAGAGGGACAGATCCTGTGTCCTCTCCAAGGGGCATCGCTGGGGGCGGGTGTTACAGGGATAGATGCTGTGTCCTCTCCAAGGGGCACTGCTGGGGGGGTGTTACAGGGATAGATGCTGTGTCCTCTCCAAGGGGCACTGCTGGGGGGGTGTTAGAGGGACAGATCCTGTGTCCTCTTCAAGGGGCATTGCTGGCGGGTGGTGTTAGAGGGATAGACACTGTGTCCTCTCCAAGGGGCATCGCTGGGGGCGGGTGTTACAGGGATAGACGCTGTGTCCTCTCCAAGGGGCATTGCTGGGGGGGTGTTACAGGGATAGATGCTGTGTCCTCTCCAAGGGGCACTGCTGGGGGGGTGTTACAGGGATAGATGCTGTGTCCTCTCCAAGGGGCACTGCTGGGGGGGTGTTAGAGGGACAGATCCTGTGTCCTCTTCAAGGGGCATTGCTGGCGGGTGGTGTTAGAGGGATAGACACTGTGTCCTCTCCAAGGGGCATCGCTGGGGGCGGGTGTTACAGGGATAGACGCTGTGTCCTCTCCAAGGGGCATTGCTGGGGGGGTGTTACAGGGATAGATGCTGTGTCCTCTCCAAGGGGCATTGCTGGGGGGCGGGTGTTACAGGGTTAGATGCTGTGTCCTCTCCAAGGGGCATTGCTGGGGGGGGTGTTACAGGGATAGATGCTGTGTCCTCTCCAAGGGGCATTGCTGGGGGGGGTGTTACAGGGATAGATGCTGTGTCCTCTCCAAGGGGCATTGCTGGGGGGGTGTTACAGGGATAGATGCTGTGTCCTCTCCGAGGGTCATTGCTGAGTTAGGTGATACAGGGATATATGCTGTGTCCTCTTCAAGGGGCATTGCTGGGGGGGTGTTACAGGGATAGATGCTGTGTCCTCTCCGAGGGGCATTGCTGGGGGGCGGGTGTTACAGGGTTAGATGCTGTGTCCTCTCCAAGGGGCATTGCTGGGGGGGGGGGTGTTACAGGGATAGATGCTGTGTCCTCTCCGAGGGTCACTGCTGAGTTAGGTGATACAGGGATATATGCTGTGTCCTCTTCAAGGGGCATTGCTGGGGGGGTGTTACAGGGATAGATGCTGTGTCCTCTCCAAGGGGCATTTCTGTGGGGAGGTATTCAAAGGTTTCCTAAAACATCAGGGAAGTTCGCCAGGGAAAGACTCGTTGGTAAGCATGTTCTAGGGAGAGCTAGTGGTAGACAGGCCCAGGCCACAGCAGGCCTTGTAGATGGGCCAGGGCTGCTTACCTGTGCACTAGGGGTGGTACTTGGCCCTGCCCTGGCCCCTGTGTGGGCTTATCCTCTGCTGAGACCATTGTGGTTCTCTGGTGCCAGAGGCACCCAGAGGTCTGTGATCTGCCTGCTTTGAGGCGGGAAGGGTTGTTCCAGTTCTGCTTTCCCAAGCGGTGGCTGTGGGCAACCCTTATGATCCAGGACGCATGGTCATCTTAACGAGCAGCTGGCTTTACACCCAGGGCGAGCAGAGGTCTTAAATTATGCCCGTTGTCCTGGAGTAATTTAGAGCAGCCTCTTTTGTATTCAGGCATCCTGGTTTGCATGGTAAGGTATGAATATAGTTGCCTTTAAACAGCACGATGAAGTGGGCGGGTTATTGTTCTCATTTCACCAAGGAGGATAATGAACCTTAGCGATCTCGAGTGACTTTCCCGGCCCCATCCCCTTTGAGGGGCAGGGCTCGCTCTGCTTCCCTGTCTGGGCACCACCCTCCTCTCTGCACCTCAGTCCACGCCGGGATGTCCTTTCTGACCTCACTGCAGTGGCACTTCCCCCTCAACCGGGGGTGCCCAGAACGAATGGGTGTATTTGGGTGAAGCCAGTATGACTGTTTCTACCCATTTTGGTTCTTCCCCAGGCCCTACCCGAATTTCCCACCCACTGCTTCCTGCCAAAGGACCCAAATCCGAGGATCCCGCCCCAAATCTGGGAATTGTCATTCTCCCACCACAGTCAGAAAACAGCCTGTGATCTTCTCTCCCTGCCCCATCCCAGAGCCTCTGACCTCCTTCCTTTCCATGCTTCTCTGGCTGGGAAACTTCCTTTCCTCTTCCCCCACCAGGCTGCAAGTGAATAAGAGGCCTGGGCTTAGACGATTTCCCCAAGTCCCTGCATCGTGTCGTCAAGGGGTCCTGCCCGCTTCACACGGCGCCCCTGAGACCCACTGTTGAACCTGGCACAGGGGGTCACAACAAGTGTTTGCTGCATGAGTGTTTTAAGTCCCTGGGGCGGACGCAGGTAGGGTGTTTGAGAGGGCTTCTCTTTGACCCCTGCCTCTGCCAGGTGTGCCCCCGAGAGCCTGAAGACACGCACCTTCTCCCATGCCAGCGACACCTGGATGTTCGGGGTGACACTGTGGGAAATGTTCACCTACGGCCAGGAGCCCTGGATCGGCCTCAACGGCAGTCAGGTGAGGGCTGGGAGACGGGCCCCCATAGGGCTGGTGGGGTGAATTCCATTCCCTGCTTGCAGCCTGGCCCTGCTGGAACTGCCTCTCACCAATGGACTCCCTCCTCCCACGCCCCGTGCCTCCCCCCACTTCCCGTGCCTCCCACCACGCCCCGTGTCTCCTCTCACGCCCCGTATCTGTATGGCCTCAGGGAGAGCCCAGCAAAGAGACGGGGAGGGAAAAGCTGGGGCCTGCCCTCCTTCTCTAGCCCTTGCCACATCCACTTGTTCCGAGGCTCCAGACCTGGGAAGAAGGGACTGGGGCTCTGGAGAGGGCCCCTCCCAGGCAGGCAGATCCCTTCTTTGGAGGCCAGGCATGGCAGCAGCCGCTGCAGCTGTGGATGGGCTGGAGGGAAGGCGGGAAGTGAAGGGCTGGGCGCTCTGTTTGTCGTCAAACTCTGCACCTCCTCACCTTCAGATCCTGCATAAGATCGACAAGGAGGGGGAGCGGCTGCCCCGGCCCGAGGACTGTCCCCAGGACATCTACAACGTCATGGTCCAGTGCTGGGCTCACAAGCCAGAGGACAGACCCACGTTTGTGGCCCTGCGGGACTTCCTGCTGGAGGTGAGGGACAGGTCAGCCCAGGAGAGCTGGGGTGTTCAAGCTGAGGGGCTACCCAGGCGTCAGTCCCAGAGTTGGCCACGACCTTCCTCTTCCTCCAGGCCCAGCCCACAGACATGCGGGCCCTTCAGGACTTTGAGGAACCGGACAAGCTGCACATCCAGATGAATGATGTCATCACCGTCATCGAGGGAAGGTAGGGAGTGCAGGGCTGGGCCCCGCCCTGGGATCGCTTGAAGGGCACAGGTCGGAGGGACCTGTGGACAGATCTGTTTGGCCTCCAAGATTCCCTTGGCCACATACAGGCTGGCGGTTGGGCCTGAACCCTGCAGTGTGAGGGGAGGACAGGCCTGCCTCCGTCTTCCTAGTGCCTTTCCCTGCCCAGCTTCCCTCCACCACCCTTTCCCACTGGGCTGCAGCCCTGGCTGTGTGGTTGGGCCAGGCTGCCTTTATGGAGGGGTAGGGAGTGGCCTGGCCTCGGTGGCAGCAGAGTTCTGGACTCCCGTGCTTCCTCCTCTGCTCCTCCCCGCTTCTCTCCCTGCTTCTTCCTGGCACAGGGACTCAGCCATCCACCTGGGTGCGTTTCAGTAGCTGAAGCAGCCCAGCCTGCCCTCTTGCAGCTTTCCATCCTTCCTGCTGAGCCCACCACCCCCTCCCAGGCCTGCCTCCAGCCTCTGGTCCTCTCTTCCCATCTCCCCTTGGGAGGACCCTCTCTATACCTAACCCTCCTCCCACAGCCTCTCGGGAGTCCCTGTCTTCCACCTGAGCCCCCGCAGTTCTAGCGCCTGCCCTGAGGCCCCACCACTGCTGGCCCTGCCTTGTGCTGGCTGATCCCCAGGGTGTCTGAGCAACTGGCTGGGGCAGGGCAGGTTTCAGGTACCTTTGAGGCAGGGGCAGTATTGAGGACCAGGAAGAAGAGTGAAGTGGAGGAAATCCCCTGTGCTCGCAGCTCCTGACTCAGGCCAGGCAAGGATGGGGCTAGGGCTGCTTCCCAGGGAGCCTCTTCCACCTGCACTGCAGCTTTTGGAGTCTGCGGCCTTCGGTGCAATCCTGTGCCTCTTGGGGGTGGGTGGAGGAGACCTGGGGGGCTGTGTGGAGTGTGACCTGCACCGCTGTGGCCCCGACACCCCGAGCCTTCCCAGGCCCGGCTCCCTCACCCTTGGGCCCAGGGTCTGGGAATAGGAATGACATACTGAGACTGCAGGGCCTGTGGTTAGGGGTGTTATGCTGGGGAAGAATGCAGAAGGTTCTAGAAAGAGAGGCCTGGGGACAGGAGGCAAACAGTCTGCAGGTTTGGAGCTGAGGGGCCAGGGATGGGATTGCAAGCGTGGCGCTCCGGGGAGCATTCTGGAAATAGGAAGATTAAGGGTGGGGGGGTCCCCTGGAAGTACCTGGCAGGGCCTCCAGCCCGAAGTCCAGCCTCATGACCGTGTCCACCTCCACGAGCTGGAAAGCCGTGGGCCTGGCCCCTCTTGTGCTGCTGCCGGAGCCCCAGATCTTTACCACCTGCTTCCCTTGCTCTCAGCAGGAGCCTGTGTGCCTGCCAGTGTCCCCAGGGGTGACTCAGAGTGGCCTGTGTTTGGGGCGTGTGTCTCTGGAGCTGGTGTTTTAGGTCACCGCCCGGGCAAGGCGGGCAGTGGGAGGGGCCGGGAGCGGCTGCTCCTGGGAGGGTTGTGGGTGTGCCCCGCCCCGCCCTTCCGTCGAAGGCCCCCGTTGGCCCCAGCCGCTGGTTCCCTGTGGCTGCTGCTGGTGGGGCTCTGGGGGCTCCTTCCCCCTGGGCCACCAGCCCTGGCTTGGAACCACAGCACCTGCCCTCCGTGCCTGGAGCTGCTCAGGAGGTGGGAGGTGAGGGGCAGGAGGCCACAACAGCCGGTGAGGCTTGGGAGCGGGCCTGGGTGTCGGTGGTGGCAGAGCTTGACTCTGCCCCCTTGTTTCTTCAGTCCCTGAATATCTCCATGTTTGTTTGGCTGCCTCCGTCTCCATGTCTCCAGGCGGATGGCTCTGTGTGAGTCTTTGGGCCTGGGTGTGCATCTGTGGGTCTGTGTTTGGAGTTCCCTCCTAGCCTGGCCTTCTCTTCGCCGTGGCTTCCCACTTGCGAAGCTGTGTCCAGTATTTGTTTCCTGGTGCGGAGTCTGGGAGGCCACCTGCCGCAGCTCTGACTGAGTCTAGGCTCAGTCCTTCTCAGGGTACCAGGCTGTGGGCAGAGGGGAGACACCTAGATGTTTCGTGCTGTGTCTAGATTTGGAGACACAAATGATGACTGGTCTTTCCCAGGGGCTCGTTTGGAGGAAGGGGTGGCTGGCAGCACTTTTGTTCCGCATACAGAGCGGGTGTTGGAATCCATTGCGGGTCCTTGGCCTGGTCTGGCCCTGGAGCCTCGGCTTCCTGTGGTGGGTGGGAGCCAGGCATCCGGGTTATCCCTCCAGGCCTGGGCGCCTGGGACCCCTAGGGAGAAGAGCGGGCGGGCGTTTTGAACAGAATGTCCGGCATTAGTTGAGCCATTTCTGGACTACCTTCGGCCCGGACGGGAACGTGGTGCTGAGATTTCCAGAGCTGGGGCAGCCTTAGGCAGTTCTCAGCACCGGCCTCTGTTTTCCATCTTGTCTACCCCAGAGATGTTGACCAGAGGCCCGGGGGCAGCAGGAGGTAGAAGGTTCATGCGGAGGTGTTGGGCCCTTTTCCTGCTCCCCCAGGAAGTCCTCATCCGCCCCTGCTTCAGTCACGGCCGGGTAGCAGCCCTGGCCCTCCCATGGCCACGGGGACTCCGGCCTGTTCATGGCGGGAGAGAGAGGGCGCGGACAGGGCGGGCCTGGAAGGAAGGGCTGGCCTCAGTCCCCTCTGGACTGCTGGTGCCTCGGCCACACTGAGCCTCACACGGGTGCGTGTGGGCTGCGAGAAGTGACACGGTCCTCTTGGAAGTCCCACTGGAGCCTTGGGATGAAGCTGCCTTGGAGTGTGCGTGGGCGCCATCCCGAGGGGGAGCTTCCTGTGCCTCCGAGCGTGCGTGGGCGCCATCCCGAGGGGGAGCTTCTTGTGCCTCGGAGCGTGCGTGGGCGCCATCCCGAGGGGGAGTTTCTTGTGCCTCGGAGCGTGCGTGGGCGCCATCCCGAGGGGGAGTTTCTTGTGCCTCGGAGCGTGCGTGGGCGCCATCCCGAGGGGAGCTTCGTGTGCCTCGGAGCGTGCGTGGGCGCCATCCCGAGGGGAGCTTCCTGTGCCTCGGAGCGTGCGTGGGCGCCATCCCGAGGGGGAGTTTCTTGTGCCTCGGAGCGTGCGTGGGCGCCATCCCGAGGGGAGCTTCTTGTGCCTCGGAGTGTGCGTGGGCGCCATCCCGAGGGGAGCTTCTTGTGCCTCGGAGTGTGCGTGGGCGCCATCCCGAGGGGGAGCTTCCTGTGCCTCCGAGCGTGCGTGGGCGCCATCCCGAGGGGGAGTTTCTTGTGCCTCGGAGCGTGCGTGGGCGCCATCCCGAGGGGAGCTTCTTGTGCCTCGGAGTGTGCGTGGGCGCCATCCCGAGGGGAGCTTCTTGTGCCTCGGAGCGTGCGTGGGCGCCATCCCGAGGGGGAGTTTCTTGTGCCTCGGAGCGTGCGTGGGCGCCATCCCGAGGGGAGCTTCTTGTGCCTCGGAGTGTGCGTGGGCGCCATCCCGAGGGGAGCTTCCTGTGCCTCGGAGCGTGCGTGGGCGCCATCCCGAGGGGAGCTTCCTGTGCCTCGGAGCGTGCGTGGGCGCCATCCCGAGGGAGAGTTTCTTGTGCCTCGGAGCGTGCGTGGGCGCCATCCCGAGGGGAGCTTCTTGTGCCTCGGAGTGTGCGTGGGCGCCATCCCGAGGGGAGCTTCTTGTGCCTCGGAGTGTGCGTGGGCGCCATCCCGAGGGGGAGCTTCTTGTGCCTCGGAGCGTGCGTGGGCGCCATCCCGAGGGGGAGTTTCTTGTGCCTCGGAGTGTGCGTGGGCGCCATCCCGAGGGGAGCTTCTTGCACACGTCCTCCGCACTCTTACTCTCCTTCCCCCAGGAGCAAGCATGTTTTCTCGAGTGGTGTCAGGACTCCCAGCAGCCATGGGGGCTCTTGCCTCGGCCATACCTGCACTAAGGGAGGTGGGCTTGATGTCTCCTTTCCCTCTCAGAAGTGGGTCCCAAAGGAGGCTTCTGTGCCTGGAGCTGGGCAGTGTTGGCGGAAGGGAGAGGCCAGACGGAGTGACCTGCCTTGGGCACGAGTCACGCTGCTCTGAGCAAGGTCTCGGCCTCAGCGGCATTCTCACCCAGTTACTGAGCGCCTCTGAAGAGGTGTGGAGAGCAGAGTCCGGCGTCTGGCCCGCGGCAGCCACCGGGGAGCCCGTGGGTGTAGCGGGAGAGCCGCAGCCCAGCCGGTGCCGGGGTTCCTCCTCTACGGGCCGCCGTGGGAGGCTGTGTGCGTGCTGGGGAGCCGGGGCTCTGCTCCTTCGAGTGGCCCTGCTATTTTTCAGATGGGACTCGTCTCGTCTCGGGGTACTGTCCTCTCTCCTTCCTTCCCTCCCTGCAGGCAGGGTGGGAATCACAGGGTGGCTGTGTGTGGTGGGGCCAGGCCAGTGGCCCTGTGTATGAGGAGGCTGGGCAGGGGGAGCACAGCCCCGTCTCCCCGCGCCCCGCGCCCCCCGCCTCCCCGCCGACCGTGGTGCTCTCGGGTTTGACTTTGGTCTCTGGGATGGGCTGTTCCGGAGTCACCCCGCTCCAGCCAGGCCTCGTCACCTTACAAGGCTGTGGGTCTGGGTGCCCAGGCGTCGCCACCTCCTCCGTCCTCTCTCCCCGGCCTGGCTGGGTTTCAGAGGAGCCCTTCTTCACGCTTTGGCCCTGGGACAGGAGAAGTGGGGGTTGGTGGGGAGGGCGTGCAGTGTGGTGCCACACGTGTCCACCCTAGCAGCTCTGGGCTGTCACCGCCCCCGCGTGCCCAGACTCTGCCCACGGGGCTGTCACCGCCCCCGCCTGCCCAGACACTGCCCACGGGGCTCTCACCGCCCCCGCCTGCCCAGACACTGCCCACGGGGCTCTCACCGCCCCCGCCTGCCCAGACTCTGCTCACGGCATCACGTATGACAAGTCCAGCAGCAGACGCGGGAGCCTCACAACCTGTGAGAGCCTTCGGGAGTCAGGAGTGTCTTGCGGGAGCCCTGTGCTTCCTGGCCTGCCTGCCCCTGCCCCTGCCCCTGCCCCTGCCCAGGCCCCGGCTTAGGCCACATCAGCAGAGGTTTCGTGTCTGAGGTCAGAGGGGGACTGGCAGCCCTACTGTCTGGTCACTGTGGGAGAGCTGAGTTCCCTTTTGGACACAGGTAGAGCCCCTCCTGAGGAGACGGGGAGGCTCCCGCAGGCCTTCCGGGAGGTGGTGGAAAGCTCCGGAAGCAGGTGAAGCGGTGGAGGGAGGGACTGAGTTGCCCGAGTGCTCCTAGACTCTCCCGCGTCTGCATTCGGGAGGCAGGTTGTAGCTGGAGGCCTGGCCCCCAGCCTAGTGCAAGGCCCTAGGTGTCCCCCGGCACCCCCGCACCTCTCAGAACTCCTGGAACCCAGCCGAGGAGTGAAATCAAGTGGCCAGAAGAGGACTGGGGCCCCGGCCTTGCCAGGGAACTGAGGGGTGAGGAGGAGGTGTGGGCGGGGCGCTGGCCCCACAGACCTGAAAGCTGGCGTTGGGTCCCAGGTCTGCTGGGATCTTTCTGGTAACCGTGGACAGGTCATGTTGCCTGCTGCAGCAGCTTCCAGCGTGCCTCCTTATTTGCAAACCATAGGGAAAGCTGCCTGACCCACCTAGAGAGTTGTGGGTAAGGCCGTGTGCAAACAGGCCTGTACGGGGCATGGTGGGTCACGGGGGCTGTTGGGGAGGAGGGCCGGTGGCACACAGCCTGGTCCTGAGGCCTGAGCTCCATCCCCCTTCTGCCACAGTGGCCAGGGTGTGAGGAGGGTCCCAGTGCCGGGGCTGCCCCGCCACGCCTGGCGTTCACCGTGCCATCTCTGTCGCGCAGGGCCGAGAACTACTGGTGGCGTGGCCAGAACACACGGACGCTGTGTGTGGGGCCCTTCCCTCGCAACGTGGTGACCTCCGTGGCCGGCCTGTCGGCCCAGGACATCAGCCAGCCCCTGCAGAACAGCTTCATCCACACAGGGCATGGCGACAGTGACCCCCGCCACTGCTGGGGCTTCCCGGACAGGATTGACGAGTGAGTACTGGGCGGGGATGGATGCTGACCTGGCCCCGCTCGGGACTCCAGGGCCCTCAGCACGGCACGCGTGGGCGGAATCTGCTCTTCACCCTTTCGCCCGGGCTTCAGCCCCCGACCCGCCACTCTCCCCTCCTCACCCTGGCCTTACTCTCGGGAAGCTGTGGAACCCTAGGAAGCCCAGCCTGGTGGGGGTTCTCCAGGGGAATGTTCTCCAGGGGAGTGTTCTCCAGGGGAGGGTTCTCCAGGGGAGGGTTCTCCAGGGGAATGTTCTCCAGGGGAGGGTTCTCCAGGGGAGGGTTCTCCAGGGGAGGGTTCTCCAGGGGAATGTTCTCCAGGGGAGGGTTCTCCAGGGGAGGGTTCTCCGGGGAGCGTTCTCCAGGGGAATGCTGTCCCTGCCATTTTCAAGCTTTGGGGGGCCGATCTCCTAACTCTGAGACACTTCATCTGTGAAACAGGTTCACCCCCCCAATAAGGGGAAGGCTGTAAATGCACTCTGAATTAGCACTTGCTGCTCAGATGCAGGGGTCCTGAGAGAAGCTTTCCCACTCACTGTAGATGAAAGTAGGGTCAGGAGCTTCTGAGGATGGACTCCTGTTTGGTGGAAAGGTCCCCGGAGCCACAGCTGTAACCCCTCTTGGTACTCGGGCCTTAGGAAAATGAACTTGGGAGGAACCCGGTGGGAGCTGCTGAGGAGGAGAGCTTCTCCCATGACCCCCCTGTGGCCCCCTGTGACCCTGTGACCCTGTGACCCCTGCACACGAGCAGTGGTTTTCCTTCTCCTGCTGGTGGTGCCAGAGTCCTGGAGACGTGAACCTGCTGGCTCAGGCCCTGGGGATGTATGCAGGTCCACATGGGAGTGAGCCTGCTTTCCAGAACCAGAGTGGGACTGGGGACCTTGGGGACTGCAGAGGGAACGTTAGGTGGCAGCTCCGCCTCCCCACCACACAGTACTCTACGGAGCTCACTCCATACCTGGGAGAGGCCCTGTCTCCTATGTAAGAGGATAAGGCCACCGAGGGGCATCTGGGAAGGACACGCAGAATCAGTCACTTCCGGGATGCCACCCCCCACCCCCCGAAGCTTCTTGCGCCAGGCCTCCAAGCCTCTCTGCTGGCCGCAGGGGGATTCCAGGCCCCTGGCCTCTGCAGCCCTTCTCCTGCTGACTTCTGATACTCTGGTCTGCCCTGAGAGGCGTGGAAAGCAGGGGCCTTCACCCACCGGGCCCCACACACCAGAACCCCACACAGCGGGCCCCCACACACCAGAACCCACACAGCGGGCCCCCACACACCAGAACCCCACACAGCGAGTCCCCCCACACCAGAACCCACACAGCGGGCCCCCACACACCAGAACCCACACAGCGGGCCCACACACACTGGAACCCCAAGCTCACAGGGCTCAGCCCATGTGTTTTGCCTAAAAAGAACCCAGCAAGGGCCTGAGAGTTGGGGTGAAAGACTGCAGACACCTCCAGGAGAGGCTGGTGCCCTCTGCCCCACTCCTGGCATGCTGTGGCCAGCCCAGCCCCATTCCTCCAGGCTTTAATCAGCCCCAGTGACTAAGTCTCAGATACTGACAGTTGGTGCAGGGACGGAGGGTGGATCCGGAGCAGGACAGGTGGCCCAGCCTCTCCCGCACCTCCTGGCCATGTGGCAGAAGGGTGCCTCCTGCCCACCCTGGCTGGGCACCATAGCTGGGATGCCCCGTTCTTAGGCCCTCCATCGTGGCCTGCGGGACAGGAGTGTCTGCCCTCTGGCCGCTGCCTGGTGTGGGCTGGGGGCCTGGGGGGTTGTGGAGGACCACCTCTGCCCTTGTAGGGTGTAGTTGGAGTCCCTGAGGTCCTAGGCTTTCCATCCTGGGGTCAGGTGTCCTTTCTCTGCCTTCTCTCCAGGACACCCCCCAGCTGAGACGTGCGGTCAGGTTCTGTGGACTGGGAGGCGGGAGGCCTGTGCTTCAGACCCAAGACTACACCCGGTTTCCTCCAGGACGAAGGGGCTCTGATGAGATTCTGCCACCCCTCCACACGCTTCCCCTGCTCTCTTGACCCAGCTCTCTCCCCCACAGACTGTATCTGGGAAACCCCATGGACCCCCCCGACCTCCTGAGCGTGGAACTGAGCACCTCCCGGCCCCCCCAGCATCTAGGAGGGGTGAAAAGTAAGAGCCCCTCTGCTCCCTGGTGTCCCTAACTCATCGGCTACTCAGGAAGGGGCACTGTCTTCACAGGCCACCCTAAGGCTGCTGTTCTGTTTTTGGGGACAGTGGGGTCAGGGCAGCAGGCGGGACAGCTGTGTCCCTGGCTCCGGCTGGGCGTGGGGTGGAAGACAGGCAGCTGTATCCGCCGAGGTGGGCCTCCTCGGGCTGGGTCTGCAGCAGGCCCGTCCGCCCCGGCGTCCCTCCTCCCTCCTTCCACGGCCGAGCTCAGATCCTGGCTTTCCTCACTTCCCCCTAATCCTGCTCTCCTGTCCCAAGCCAAAACCACCCCACGGCTCCGGCTCTGCCTGGGGCCTCCTCCATCTCCCGGTCCTCTGCCTATCATACTGGACCGCCGTGTTCCTCATCCTGCCGCCTGCGGCCTCCCGTTTGCTGGGGGCTTGTACATTCACTCGCCCCCATTCACTTCTCTCCCTTCGTCTCTCTACACTCTGCCCTCTCGTCCGGCCGTCTCCCTCCTTTGTCCTCTGTCCTGCTCCGTCTCTCTCCCCCTGTCCGCATGGCCTTTCTTGCAGGGGAGCCTCCACCTCGCCCACCTCAGCCTGCCTTCTTCACTCAGAGTAAGTGGGGCTGCTTCCGATGCCTTGGCCCCCGCCCCCGCCCCCTCTCTCTCACTCCTCTCCTGGAAGGTACAGAGCCTGGGCGGCTGGGCCGGAGGGGAGGTGGGTGGGTGTGTGCTGTGAGCTTCCGCGGCTGCCCTGGCCTAGCATGCCTGCCCCCCCTCGAGCCCGCCCCCCGGAGCCTGGGCTTCTGCTCACGAGTGTGGCCCTGGCTTCCGCCTCGGCCTCACTCCCTCCCAGACCTGTCTGAGCTTCTGGAGCACGAGTGTGGCCCTGGCTTCTGCCTTGGCCTCGCTGCCTCCCAGACCTGCAGGCGCTGTCTGGGCTTTGTGGCCGTTGGTCAGGAGTACTGTCCTCTCCAAGGATAGTCCTTATAGCCCCTGATGGCAGGAGGCGGCTCCGTGCCTGCACTAATGGTGTGCCGTGACAGGGGCGGGGATGAGGGCTCACTAACTCGCCAGGGCGCAGGAGCAGGGCCGCCGGGGTCTTGTGCTGGTGGAGGCAGCGTCAGGCAGGAGCCAGTGTTGCTTGCTGCAGCTTAGACGGAGCGAGGCGGGGCTCACCGGCCCACATGGGGCTGCCGGGCAGAGCAGGTTCCGCCCTCCTGATGGAGTGGTCGGAGGTGCGCTGAGAACCTGGCCGCCGGTGGCTGACCTCAGACCTCGGGGGGAGTTGGGAGTGGAGGGTTGCTGGGGGACACTTGGCTTTCTCTCCCACGTGCCACCTCCCCTCGTGTCCCAGACCCTGCCTGACTGCCTTCCTGTTGGGCTCTCCCTTTCCATCACAGAACCAACCTATGACCCTGTGAGCGAGGACCAAGACCCCTTGTCCAGCGACTTCAAGAGGCTGGGCCTGCGGAAGCCAGGCCTGCCCCGAGGGCTGTGGCTGGCGAAGCCCTCGGCGCGGGTGCCGGGCACCAAGGCCAGCCGAGGCAGCGGGGCTGAGGTCACGCTCATCGACTTCGGTGAGGAGCCCGTGGTCCCGGCCCTACGGCCCTGCGCGCCCTCCCTGGCGCAGCTGGCCATGGACGCCTGCTCCCTGCTGGACGAGACCCCGCCTCAGAGCCCCACGCGGGCACTGCCCCGGCCCCTGCACCCCACGCCTGTGGTGGACTGGGACGCACGCCCGCTGCCCCCCCCGCCCGCCTATGACGACGTGGCCCAGGATGAGGATGACTTTGAGATCTGCTCCATCAACAGCACCCTCGTGGGCGCGGGGGTCCCTGCCGGGCCCAGCCAGGGCCAGACCAACTACGCCTTTGTGCCTGAGCAGGCGCGGCCGCCCCCTCCCCTGGAGGACAACCTGTTCCTCCCGCCCCAGGGTGGGGGCAAGCCGCCCAGCTCCGCACAGACCGCAGAGATCTTCCAGGCGCTACAGCAGGAGTGCATGAGGCAACTGCAGGCTCCGGCCGGCTCCCCGGCCCCCTCTCCCAGCCCGGGGGGTGACGACAAGCCCCAGGTGCCTCCTCGGGTACCCATCCCCCCTCGGCCCACGCGCCCACACGTCCAGCTGTCTCCAGCCCCCCCGGGCGAGGAGGAGACCAGCCAGTGGCCTGGACCTGCTTCCCCTCCCCGGGTGCCTCCGCGGGAGCCCCTGTCCCCTCAAGGCTCGAGGACACCCAGCCCCCTGGTACCACCTGGCAGCTCCCCGCTGCCACCCCGGCTCTCAAGCTCACCTGGGAAGACCATGCCCACCACCCAGAGCTTTGCCTCAGACCCCAAGTACGCCACCCCCCAGGTGATCCAGGCCCCTGGCCCGCGGGCTGGTCCCTGCATCCTGCCCATCGTCCGGGATGGCAAGAAGGTCAGCAGCACCCACTATTACTTGCTGCCCGAGCGACCATCCTACCTGGAGCGCTACCAGCGCTTCCTGCGTGAGGCCCAGAGCCCCGAGGAGCCTACCCCCCTGCCTGTGCCTCTGCTGCTGCCCCCACCCAGCACCCCAGCCCCCGCCGCCCCCACGGCCACCGTGCGGCCGATGCCCCAGGCTGCCTTGGACCCCAAGGCCAACTTCTCCACCAACAACAGCAACCCAGGGGCCCGGCCACCACCCCCGAGGGCCACTGCTCGGCTGCCACAGAGGGGCTGCCCTGGCGATGGGCCAGAGGCGGGCCGGCCAGCAGACAAGATCCAGATGGTGAGCACCCAGCCTGGCTGTGGGCGAAGCGGGGCAGGGCCCAAGGGGCCTGGAGCAGTGGGCCCTAGTGGTGCTGACAGGGGTGGGTGTGCCCAGCTGCAGGCCATGGTGCATGGGGTGACCACAGAGGAGTGCCAGGCGGCCCTGCAGTGCCACGGCTGGAGCGTGCAGAGGGCTGCCCAGTATCTGAAGGTACCGCCACCTCCTGCTCACTCTGGCTCTCAGGGACCCTGAAGCCTGGTTCTGCTGCCCCCAGCCCCACGCCCCCTGGCTCCGACTCCCCTCTTCCCCACCCTAGTCGGTGCCCTGGGCCCGCGTGTCCATGGCGCCACCCTTACCCCCAGGTGGAGCAGCTCTTCGGGCTGGGTCTGCGGCCCAGAGGGGAGTGCCACAAAGTGCTGGAGATGTTCGACTGGAACCTGGAGCAGGCCGGCTGCCACCTTCTGGGCTCCTGGGGCCCTGCCCACCACAAGTGAGTGAGCCCCACAGTCTGCCCCGCTCCGTGCCCCAGGAGGGCTGTCCCAGAGCCTGCCACACTGGGAGGAAGCCCAACACCTCGCAGGCCGCTCCCGGCCAGGGAGACACAGCTCTCCAGCTGCGGGAGGGAGGCGCTCACAGGGCCCAGCAAATCGTTTTTCCTAAATGTGTTTATTTGGACATTTTAGCCACTTGGTTTTCAAATGAGTACAAGAGGGAATTGGAGCCTCTCTGGTTGAAGGAGGCTTGCTTCCCTAGCACCTGCAGTGACCCTGAGCGGCTCCAGGAATGGCACTTTTTAGGACCCCATGATTTGCACACCTCTTTCTCACCTCTGTGTTTCCATATTTCTGTTTAAAGTAACATTTAAAATTTCAGTGTTGGCTGGGCACCGTGGCTCATGGCTGTAATCCCCAGCACTGTGGGAGGCCAAGGAGGGAGGATCACCTGAGGTCAGGAGTTCGAGACCAGCCTGGCCAACATGGCGAGACCAGGTCTCTACTAAAAATACAAAAATTAACCGGGTATGGTGGTGGGCACCTGTAATCCCACCTGCTGGGGAGGCTGAGGCAGGAGAATCGCTTCAACCTGGGAGGCGGAGGTTGCTGTGAGCTGAGATTGCACCACTGCACTCCATCCTGGGCGACAGAGGGAGACTGTCTCCAAAAAAAAAAATTTTCTCTAAAAAGAAAATATATTGTCTTTCCTGTAAAAGGTTTATATTATAGTTTAACAAAATATATAGACATTTAAAATATATACATATATAAACACACTTTATATATTATGTAAATATATATATGAGAGCGCTGTCAAGTCAAAAAGAAGTGAACTGAGGTCACATGGCTGGAGCCAGCACCATGGCAGGAGGCACTGGCGGGAGGAGGGGCTGACACGGGCCAGGCCCTGGAGATACCTGCTGCCCTTGTCCCAGCAGCGTGGCCCTGTGCACGGTGCGGAGTTTCTCCACATATAAAGCGTGTAGATAATAGTGCTCACCCCGTGGAAGGGACTGGCGCGATGGATGGGGGACATGTCTGTCTTATTGCGCCCAGCACGCCTGGCGCCAGGATGCAGGCACTCCGTGTCACCTGTCTGTCCCATACTGTCTCGGGTGGTTCTTACTGATTTGCAGCTGGGATGCAGGCACTCCCTGTCACCTGTCTGTCCCATACTGTCTCGGGTCGTTCTTAACTGATTTGCACCTGGGACGCAGGCACTCTGTGTCACCTGTCTGTCATTGTCTCGGGTGGTTCTTACTGATTTGCACCTGGGACGCAGGCATTCGCTGTCACCTGTCTGTCACTGTCTCGGGTGGTTCTTACTGATTTGCACCTGGGATGCAGGCACTCCGTGTCACTTGTCTGTCCCAGTCTCGGGTGGTTCTTACTGATTTGCACCTGGGATGCAGGCACTCGGTGTCACCTGTCTGTCCCATCCTGTCTCGGGTCATTCTTAACTGATTTGCACCCGGGACGCAGGCACTCTGTGTCACCTGTCTGTCACTGTCTCGGGTGGTTCTTACTGATTTGCACCCGGGACGCAGGCACTCGCTGTCACCTGTCTGTCACTGTCTCGGGTGGTTCTTACTGATTTGCACCTGGGACGCAGGCACTCGCTGTCACCTGTCTGTCACTGTCTCGGGTGGTTCTTACTGATTTGCATCTGGGACGCAGGCACTCGCTGTCACCTGTCTGTCACTGTCTCGGGTGGTTCTTACTGATTTGCATCTGGGACGCAGGCACTCGCTGTCACCTGTCTGTCACTGTCTCGGGTGGTTCTTACTGATTTGCACCTGGGACGCAGGCACTCCGTGTCACCTGTCTGTCACTGTCTCGGGTGGTTCTTACTGATTTGCACCCGGGACGCAGGCACTCGCTGTCACCTGTCTGTCGCTGTCTCGGGTGGTTCTTACTGATTTGCATCTGGGATGCAGGCACTCCGTGTCACCTGTCTGTCGCTGTCTCGGGTGGTTCTTACTGATTTGCACCCGGGACGCAGGCACTTGCTGTCACCTGTCTGTCACTGTCTCGGGTGTTTCTTACTGATTTGCACCTGGGACGCAGGCACTCCGTGTCACCTGTCTGTCACTGTCTCGGGTGGTTCTTACTGATTTGCACCTGGGACGCAGGCACTCGCTGTCACCTGTCTGTCACTGTCTCGGGTGGTTCTTACTGATTTGCATCTGGGACGCAGGCACTCGCTGTCACCTGTCTGTCACTGTCTCAGGTGGTTCTTACTGATTTGCATCTGGGATGCAGGCACTCCGTGTCACCTGTCTGTCACTGTCTCGGGTGGTTCTTACTGATTTGCATCTAGGATGCAGGCACTCCGTGTCACCTGTCTGTCGCTGTCTGGGGTGGTTCTTACTGATTTGCAGCTGGGATGCAGGCACTCCGTGTCACCTGTCTGTCGCTGTCTCGGGTGGTTCTTACTGATTTGCATCCACATAGGCTTTGGGCTCTATCCCACCTGTCGTCTTCGGATTCTCTAATACGCAGGAGTGCTCTTCTGTTAGTTTACTCATAGTTTATTAAAGTACAGAGAAAAGACATCCAGGATGATAAATTTTACAGTCCTTGCCGGGGACTGCCAGCTTCCAGTGGTGTTGCCTGGCACCAGTGTGACCCCCGGTGCCTGCCCCGCTGAACCTTCTGTAAACTGTTTAACTGTGCTGGTGGTTTCCCATTCTCTAGGCGCTGAGATGCGTCTGGAGAGCCAGAGGGCCTGCCTGAAGGAATCACCTGAGCCTGTCCGTCCACCAGGAGTGGGGAGATGCCCCCATCCAGTCCTGGAGGACCCGCTGCTCCTGCTGCTCCCGGGGATGGAGCAAGGCCAAGGCTGCGGGAGGCTGGGAGCCCTGCCCTGCCCATCCCTCCTGCACCAGCGCTGTCCCTGCACACTTTGGTTCAGTCCCGGTGCCCCTGCCAAGATGTGGAAGGGGCCGGGTGAAGACAGGCTTGAGGGCTGCCCCAGCAGGCTCTGGGTATGACCTGCCTCTGGCCCTGGTCCTGGGCGGGGCCTGTGGGTGGAGTAGTACCCCCAGGCCCTGCCCTGGGTGACAGACTGGGAGGAAACCAGGCTGGACCTGGGCAGGCGGGATGTGTTGGCCACAGGGAGAGGCGGACCGGCACCCGGTGGGACCTCCTAGGACTGGGCCTTCTTCCAGGGGGCCCCTGGCAGCAGCTGGGGTGTCGGGCAGAATGTGACTTGTGGCCTTACCATGGACTTGAATGGGACTTGGCTGGCCTCAGGATCTTGTGCCTGGAAATAGCCTGAGGTGGCTCAGGAAGCGGAGAAAGGGTGCCAGACCATTCTCTGGCGGGGACCAGGGCCCAAGGCCCCAGGGCTGGAAGGAGACCAAGGGGCAGCCGCCCTGGAGGGACATCAGTGCTTCCTCTTCCACCCAATTCCCCCACGCGGTTCCATGTTTTCCCACCAGCCTGTTGGCGAAGTTGCTGCTCCGGCATTCAGTACCTGCTTCTTCCAGAGAAATAAAGTTAGTTTCTATTTTATGTTACTTACTTGTGCCTGCCTGTTTCTTTGCCTGTTAGTCAGCAAGCTCCAGGCCCCAAGCGAGGCTCCCCAGGCCACCAGCATCTGCTCCGGGCAGCAGGCCTTGTAGCACCACCTGGAGGCAGCGGGAGGGCGCGCAGGCCTGGACACCGGGAGGCCTCTTCCCTTACACGGCCGGCAGCGGGGCCAGAGTCCCCGCCGGTCTGGTCAGTGACTTTCACACTGCCTGGATTTCACTTGCCGCGTGGACTTCTGTAAGGCAGGATATATACTGCAGGAGAGAGTACAGCAACCCAGTTAAATAGAACCAAGCCAGAAATGTTAGCAACAAGGAACCCTTCAATATGTTAGGTATTTTAATTGCTTTTCTGAATAACTCATGTTCATACGGTTCAAAATTGAAAAGGCACTGAGGAGTGTACAGTGAAATGACTGGGTATCACCCACCGCGGCCGTCCACTTCCCCAGTGCAGAGACGCCTGTATCACCAGTTTCTTGTGTAGTGCTTGTTTTTGTTTTTACTTAATAATATTTTGAAGAATTCCATAGCAATACTGAACGTGCTTCCCCATTCTTTTTTTTTTTTTTTTTTTTGAGACAGTTTTGCTCTTGTTGCCCAGGCTGGAGTACAGTGGTGCGATCTCTGCTCACTGCAACCTCTGCCTCCCAGGTTCAAGCAATTCTCCTGCCTCAGCCTCTGAGTAGCTGGGATTACAGGCACGTGCCACCACACCCAGCCAATTTTTGTATTTTTAGTAGAGATGGGGTTTCTCCATGTTGGCCAGGCTGGTCTCAAACTCTTGACCTCAGGTGATCCGCCTGCCTCAGCCTCCCGAAGTGCTAGGATTATAGGCATGAGCCACCGCGCCCGGCTGGGCTTCCCCATTCTTTCGGGTTGCGTGGATGCACGGGTGTACCATAACCTACTTAACTGGGTTCCTTTTGATGAAGGGCAATTTTAGTTGCATCCAGTCCTTCGCAATTACAACCATTGCCTCAGTAAATTGTGTATGTGGGCTGTTTTTCACTCGCACGTCAATCTGAAGATGAGTTCCCAGCAGTGGGACTGCTAGGTCAAAGGGCGTGTGCCATGGCGGTGGGTGGTGCTGAACCTGCTCTCAGCGGAGGGACATTCTCAGTTGTCACACCACCTGTGCAAGGGAGCTTTCCATGTGTTAAGGAGTTTTCTGATCTTTGGCAGACTGACTGGTAGAAAATAGTGTTTCTATAGTTTTAATATGCATTTCTCTTACGAATAAACTCAAAAATAAGTTGAGCCATTTGTATTTCCTTTTTAATGAGTTGCCTATTAATATCCTTGGCCCATTACAAAATGTTAGATTATTCATCGGTTTCTTACTGCTTTCCAGGAAATTACTGGATCAATCAAGGAAACTAGCTCTTTGAGCTTCACATATGATCATGTGAACTTTAGGAAAAGAGGTAAATCATAAGAAAGTAAGCTTAATGACTCGGGTTTATTGAAAACAAAACAGAGGCCATTCAGGGTGAGTCTGGGCCACGTGTGTGTCTGGCTGTAGGCTGGCCTTCGTGGGTAGGCCCCGAGGCTCAGAAGTTCTGAGGCCTGGGAGCTTTGCATATGCCGTTTGCAAAGGCAGGAATTCTATTATTTTAACTGTGATTTAAAATACCTAGTCAAATATATCACAAAAGGGAACAAGTTTTTTTTTTTTTTTTTTTTTTTGAGACGGCATCTTGCTCTGTTGCCCAGGCTAGAGTGCAGTGGTGCAATCTCGGCTCACTGCAACCTCTGCCTCCTGGGTTCAAGTGATTCTCCTGCCTCCGCCACCTGAGTAGCTGGGACCACAGGCGCACACCACCACACCCGACTAATTTTTGGATTTTTAATTTTTGGATTTTTAGTAGAGATGGGGTTTCACCATACTGGTCAGCCTGGTCTTGAACTCCTGACCTCATGATCCGCCCGCCTCGGCCTCCCAAAGTGCTGGGATTACAGGCGTGAGCCACCGCATCCAGCCAGAACAAGTTCATATTAAGTGAGTGTTGAGCATTGCTGTTAGACCTGGATTTCATTCCTAGCTCTGTTTCGTCTTAGAAATGTTATTTCACCTTTCTGAGTCTGTAAACTGATGGAGTAATTCCTGCCTTATAGAAGGGTTGTGAGGACTGACTGAGGTTGTGAAGGTGAAACATTTTGCTTAGAGTATGGGCCACAGTCAGTTCCCACCAAACAGTAGTTATTATAAATGTTATTTCCCCGTGTTCCTGCCTGTTTCTATTAATCAATAGCTCACATTATACACTGACCACACTCTGCGCATAGAATTGTGTTTTACTTTTCTCATTTTCCTTCTGTTTCAGAAAGTTTATTCTTTTGCTCACAATTATCCTATTTATAGATCATAGGTGTTTTTACTTCATTTTAAAAAACACATCAATTTTTTGTAAGCAATCCAGATGTGTGTATGCTTTACAAGCATTTAAAAATCTGTTTCAGAGCCAACACATCCAGAAAGATTTTTGCAGGGGGCAGAGGATGTCAAAGCAGCTCGAGGTTTCTCAGGGGAGCAGGGAACCCAGTGTACTTTTCCTGCCAGACACACAGTTCCCTAAACCCTGGGTTTCCTGCTATGTTTTTCTTGCTTCTAATCGGCCTGCCAGCTTTTCCAGCATCTCCTGGGTTTACTGAAAAGATCTTAAGTTGGGAAGTTGAAACGCTGACCCAGGTGTGTTTGCCAACAGGCAGAATCAACAACAGGCAGAATCAACAACAGGGAGAATCAACAACGGAGAATCAACAACAGGGAGAATCGACAACAGGGAGAATCAACAACAGGCAGAATCAACAACAGGCAGAATCAACAACAGGGAGAATCAACTCAGTGGGGAGGTGTCGGGTGCTTTTTGTGTGTGGAGCCCTGATGAGGAAACACAAGCCAAGTAGAAACAGTCCGTGCCCCAGATGGGTCCACAGCCTTTGGGGGACTGTGACAGCATCACGGCAGGACGGGTGCTCTGTAATCGTTACGCACCAGGTGTCTTGGGAGCAGAGGAGGTGGCTCCCCACAAGGTCACGTTGTGCTGATGTGATGGGTGAGAACGGTGAACGCCAGGTAGGGACGAAAGCGCTGCAGGTGGAGGGCCCTGCAGCCGAGGCGGCGGGCACGAGCCGGCTTGTCCCAGGCACTGAAGTTGGCAAGGCCAGAGCGCATCCTTTTGTTGTTTTGGGGGTGGGTTAGAGGCGGCTCTCGTGATCCTGGCGCGTGAGGCAGGCCTGGATCATGAGGCTGCTGGTGTGGAATGCTGAGTTCTTTTGACTTTGTAGACAAAGGAAGACATCAGGAATAGCCAGAGGGGTAGTGGGGTTGCATCTGGGTGCTCAGGATGGGGCTGCTTGAAAGCGGCTGGCGGCTCCACTGCAGCCACAAAAGGAGGAAAGGCCTAGTGCGTCTCTCCCTGCGGACAAAAGGTTTCCTTAATTGGAAGCAAGTTCATTTGTACAGAAACTGCATTTGGAGGTTGGAGGAACCTCCAACTGCTGGAGTCTTTGTCGAGAGCAAGGGTTCTTGAAGGCCAGTCCAGGGCCGCTGCCGGTCTAGAGTTAAGTTTTCAGCCACCTGAGGTGAAATGATAAGAACTGCAGGACCGAGCTTTTCTTAAAATGAAAGAGATTCCGTTTCAAGGACGGTCTTTATTTGGATGTGTCTTCCTGAGTTCTTGGTACTGAAATGGCTGTTGTTGCGTAGTGGTGGTGGTGGTGTTAGGCGGTAACTGTGTCCCCCGTGCCCTGTCAGGATGCCCCTCACCAATGACTGCTATTTTAATGATCCCCGAAGTCCATCTTGAGGACCCGGGGCCAGAGAGCTTTCGTGTTAGGCAGCACCACCTGTTGGCAAAATGTGGCATTGCAGGCCCTCTGGCTAAATTTCAGAGTGGGAGGGATGAGATTGTGTATTCATTGCCCAATAAATCAATTAATTCCAAATCTGCTGGCTCAAGCCCATGGGTGCTTAAAGGGAGTCAGCCCAGGGAAGCTGGGAGGGGAAGGAACTGGGTCGCCCGCCATCTGGAGCCAAACGGGGACCAGCCAGTATCTAAGGTCAGGAAAGGAGACGGGTGGAGGGCTCTGAAAAACACCACGCCTGCACCTGGGCCAGAAACCTGCGGCTCTGGGCTAGCTGGAGGGAAGCTGAGGGCTGGGAGAGCGGGCAGTCACTCTCCAGCAGAAGTCCTCGCATCACGTCACTCCATTTGGGAAGCCTCAGTTCCACTGTATTAAAAAAAAATGTTTTTATGATTGTTATACATGCTCTTTGTTGACTTGGACCATTCAGAAGAGCGCAGTGAGAAAATTAAAGACCCAGAAAGCCACTTAAAATTTTGATATATTCCACTTTTTTTTGTGCACATATATGTGTATTACGGTTTTATAAAATAAGGTCATCCAGCATGCAGGGTTTCCTTAAGGTTTATTTTTATCTTTATTTTATTTGGTTTTTTGTTTGAATCAAGGTCACTCTCTGTCACCCAGGATGAGTGCCGTGGCATGATCATGGTTCAGGGTGGCCTGGAATTCCTGGACTCAAGCGATCGTCCCACTTAAGCCTCCCAAGCAGCTGGGGTGACCGGCGTGCCCCACCACACCTGGCTAATTTTTTTATTTTTTTATTTTTAGTAGAGACGAGGTCTCACTATGTTGCCCAGGCTGGTCTCGAATTTCTGGACTCAAACAATCCTCCCGCCTCAGCCTCCCAAAGTGCGGGGATTATAGGCATGAGCCACTGTGCCTGGCCAGTTTTCTGTATCTTTAAATTCATCTTCTCAAAGAATATTTAAACACTACCTAGTTTTTATTCTGTGGATAAACTCCAGTTAACACATTTTGTTAATGTTTTTTATCTTGTAACTGTTCATTTATTTAGAGACAAGGTGTCCCTCTGTCTCCCAGGCTGGAGTGCAGTGGCTCCAGCTCAGCTCGGCTCACCGTACCTTGATCCTCCAGGCCCAAGGGATCCTCCCACCTCAGCCTCCCAAGCTGTGAGAACTACAGGCAGGCGCCACTATACCCACATAGTTTTGTTCTTTTTTTTCTTTTTTCTGTAGAGATGAGATCTCACTATGATGCCCAGGCTGGTCTCGAACTCCTGTGCTCAAGTGATCCACCCACCTCGGCCTCCCCAAAGTGTTGAGATTACAGGCGTCAGCCACCGCACCCAGCTGTAACAAATTGTTTTAATAAATAGTGCTAAAAGGTTTTCCAGAAATATTTGGCTCTCTTATTAAAATAAAACATAAGTTTTGAGTTTTTTTATGAAAGAAAATGTACTCTCTCTCTCTCTCTCTCTCTCTCTCTATATATATATATATATATATTTTTTTTTTTTTTTTTTTTTTTTTTTTTTGAGACAGAGTTTTACTCTGTCACCCAGACTGGCATGCAGTGGCCCGATCTCGGCTCACTGCAACCTCCACCTCCCAGGTGCAAGCGATTCCCCTGCCTCAGCCTTCCCAAGTAGCTGGAATTACAGGCACACACCACCACGCCCAGCTGACTTTTTTGTATTTTTAGTAGAGATGGGGCTTCACCGTGTTGACCAGGCTTGTCCTGAACTCCTGACCTCAGGTGATCCACCTATCTCAGCCTCCCAGAGTGCTGGGATTACCGGCGTGAGCCACCGTGTCTGGCCATATATGTTTTTAAAGAAAGGACTTATGTTCTGGACATATATTTTAAAATATTTATGTAAAATTTTTATATGTATGTTTATATAAAATATATATATACATATATATACATACATATATATATACATATATATATAGAGAGAGAGATGGAGTCTCACTCTGTCACTCAGGCTGGAGTGCAATGGTGCGATCTCGGCCCACCAGAACCTCTGCTTCCCGGGTTCAAGCGATCCTCCTGCCTCAGCCTCCGAGTAGCTGGGACTACAGGCGCCTGCCACCATGCCCGGCTAATTTTTGTATTTTTAGTAGAGATGGGGTTTCACTCTGGTGGCCAGGCTGGTCTCACGAATTCCTGACCTCAGGTGACCCATCCGCCTAGGCCTCCCAAAGTGCTGGGATTACAGGCATGAGCCACCATGCCCAGAGGATTTTTATTTTATTTTATTATTTTATTTCATTTTTATTTATTTTATTTTTAGAGATGAGGTCTCACTATGTTGCCCAGGTTGGTCTTGAACTCTCGAGCTCAAGCAATCGTCCTGCCGCGGCCTCCCAGAGTGCCGGGATTCCAGGCTTGAGACACCACGCCCGGCCAAAATGCAGTAATTGTTTAAATGGAAGACATACTGTCTGTGATGGCAAATCACTGGGTCCCCAGTCCCATGTCCTCCCCTGCCAGTATCAGAGAGGGCCCTGGAGCAGTGACCATCCCTGAGCCAGGGTGGCTCTGGAAGGACTCAGCCTGCAGGGAGCCCCGCTACTCCCTTCCCTTCTTGGCCTGCCAGCCGCCCACCCCGCTCACCCTCTCTCCCTTGGAACCTCAGGGCTCCTCATGGCCTTGGGAGTGAGGAGAATTGATCAGAGGAAAAGCCGTGTCGGGCCTAACCCGGGTCGGAGGTGGCGGCGCTACAGGCTTGAGCTTCTTTCAGAGGCCCAGGCAGCACTGTGTTTGGGGGAGTGGTTCGGCTGCCGAAGTCCGGGGTTACTAGCACTCTGTCTTGTCTGATAACGATGCTGTTTAACCACAGCCTAGTCTGCAGGCAAGAAAGCTAACAGCTTCCTCTGTCTAATGTGCATTTATTTTTCTTTGTCTCAGTTACATACTTCCCATTTAGAATAATTCTAATTCCTTTCTGTACTAGAAGTTTTGTTGTTGTTTTTGAGATAGGGTCTTGCTCGGTTGCCCAGGCTGGAGTGCAGTGGCGCAGTCTGGGCTCAGTGCAACCTTTGCCTCTCAGGCTCAGGTGATTCTCCCACCTCAGCCTCCCAAGTAGCTGGGACTACAGGCAGGCGCCACCACGCCCGGCTAATTTTTTGTAGAGACAGGGTTTCACCATGTTGCTCAGTCTGGTCTGGAACTCCTGGGCTCAAGCAATCCACCTGCCTCGGCCTCCCAAAGTGCTAGGATAACAGCCGTGAACGACCGCACCCAGGCATTTTTCTTTTTAATTAAAACGATTTTTTTTTTCTGGAAGCTTCTGAGGTCGAAAAAGGAAAAAAGAAAAATAAAATTCTGCCCCCTCATAGAAGTTTTAAAATTTCAAATAATATCTTATGTCTAAGTATGTTATTAATCCATTCATCAACACATGTTTTCTACTTTCTATTGTGTACCTGGCACTGTGCTGGGAGCCAGAGGGCAGTGATGAGCAAAGCAGGAACAGGTGAGCAGGTATGGAGGGCCTGACATCACACAAGCTGTCATTCCAACTGTCAGCCCTGTGCCAAAATAAAAGAATGGCTTTTTCCCCCCAAATAAAATGTTTACCTTGTTTGCCAAAAGAACATTCTCATTATAGAGCTTCTGGATAACCTCCCTCTCAGAGTGTTTCCCGGGGACTCCACCCAAGATGCTGCCCTAAGTGTCATGCAAAAGAGAACAACGGAACCTTCAGCTCATCCTGGCTCTTGAATCCAATCACTGTTGCACAGCTTGGGGCTTCTCTCCTGTTGTGTGTATGTTTTTTAACGTGCTCACTTTATTATAGATTTGTAAATATTGAGCACATGTGCCAAAATACTCTGTCATTCCCGTTTGGCTGGTTATAGAGATAGTTCCCATTTTTCTTCTATTATTCTTATTGCCAAAGAAACCTAACTGTGCTAAGTCTATTACTATTGAATCATCCCCTCTCAGTGCTTAGCATTTACTCTGGTGCATTCCTTGAAAAAATCACAGTTGGCCATTATGCTATTTTTTTTTTTTGATACAGAATCTTACTCTCTTGCCCAGACTGGAGTGCAGTGGTGCGATCTCGGCCCACTGCAGCCTCTGCCTCCTGGGTTCAAGTGATTCTCCTGCCTCAGCCTCCTGAATAGGTGGGATTACAGGCATGTGCCACCACGCCTGGCTAATTTTTGTATTTTTAGTAGAGACAGGGTTTCACTATGTTGGCCAGGCTGGTCTCGAACTCCTGACCTCAAGTGATCCACCGGTCTCAGCCTCCCAAAGTGCTGGGATTGCAGGTGTGAACCACTGCGCCTGGGCCCATTATGCTATTTGAGCAAAAGATTTGTTAAGCACACCTCTACACTCCTCCCTCCCTCCCTCCCTTCCTCCCTCCCTCCCTCCCTCCCTTCCTCCCTCCCTCCCTATCTTTCTGATAGGGTGTTGCTATTCTTGAGTAACTGGATCTACAGGCATGCACCACTGCACCTGGCTCAAGAACTTTCTTCTTACACTGTACATATTTTGGTAAAAATGAAATCCTGATGAAGCTTCTAAAAGCCTTATTGTACTTAGTTTTACTTAAATATAGACAGTTCAGGAAAGCAGGTATTTCTGCCACTGGTTGTGTGACCTTAGGCAGGCCCCTGTTTTCCCTGGGCCTGAGTTTCACAGACCGTAAAGGAGGAGATCGGGCCCCTCCCAGCTCTGGCGTTCTGTCCCAGGAAGGAGAAGGCCGACGGCGGAGGCTGATGCTTTGGCCCTTCCCAGAGCTGCCTCTGCTGTCTGTGCCTCTTTTCTTTGCTCTGTCATCTTCCCTTGCTAAAGGCCCTGGGTTGGGCCCCAGCTCTGCTACTTGTGTGCAACTTCATTCTAGCCTTTTATTTTATTTTATTTTATTTTTTGAGATGGAGTTTCACTCTTGTTGCCCAGGCTGGAGTGCAATGGCACGATCTCAGCTCACGGCAACCTCTGCCTCCCGGGTTCAGGCGATTCTCCTGCCTCAGCCTCCCAAGTAGCTGGGATTACAGGGATATGCCACCACGCCCGGCTAATTTTGTATTTTTAGTAGAGACGGGGTTTCTCCATGTTGGCCAGGCTGTTCTTAAACTCCTGACCTCAAGTGACCCACCCGCCTCGGCCTCCCAAAGTGCTGGGATTCCAGGCGTGAGCCGCCGCGCCCGCCCATTCTAGCCTTTTAATCTCTCAATGGCATCAGTTTCCTCGTCTTGAAATGGGGTTGAGAAATTGTGAGGAATTCAAAGCGTCAGAACTTCCAGCTGCGAGACCTTATTTCCTGTTCACTTTTGCTTCTTCCCTGCAGACCAAGTTGGAGGTGCGTCCTCCTTTTGCCAGACCTCCTCTTGTGCCTCTTGCTGTATGCAGAGCGTCGTGATGACAGTAAGAGAGAAACCACCAGTCCCCTCCCGGTGGGAGCTTGCATCTGGGTGGGAGGGGCTCATAGAGGAGGCAGTTGAGGAAATGCGTAATGGTTGTGGGGCAGGGGTGGAGGTGAGGGGAGGCAGGCACAGCCAGACTGTGAGCCAGGCAGGACTGGGCAGATTTGGACATGGGTGGCCTGAGTGGCAGCAGCATCAAGGGTTCTGGGACCAAAGCCACTTGTTTTGGTGCTGGTCTCAGTGCCCTCCACCCACGTCCTCCAAACCCGAGGAGGCCTCGGGGCTGCCTGTGGAGGTCCATGGCCTGTGGCCCATTCTCATCTTGTGCCTCTCAGGCGAATTTTCTATTTGGGTTGTTGTATTTTTCAGTTCTAAAATTTTCATATTTCTTTTTAATATTTCATGTATCTGCCAAGATGATGTATCTTTTTGTTCACTTCAGTAGTGTTTGTTCTTACTCCTTGGAGCATGGTTATAACAGCTGCTTAACGTCTGTGATATTCCAACACCTGCCTCATCTTGGGATTGGCCTCAGTTGCTTGTCTTTCTCCTTGTGAGATGTGAGAGTTCTGTGGTTCTTTGTACGTTGAGTAGTTTTGGATTGTATCTTAGACTCTGTGAAGATGAAGTTATGAGATTCTGGGTCTTGTTTAAAGCCTGCAGAGAATGTTATTTTTGTTTGTCAGCAGGTTGGTTTTAGCAGGTAGTTGACTTAGGCTGAGACCCCAAGTTCCAGCGAGGGCAGCTCCAATGTCAGTTTTCAAGTCTCTGTATTTTGTGGTTGGGATCTGCCCCACACGTGCACAAACCAGTGGCCAGTCTGGGACCGGGGTGATAATCTACCCACGGTTCAGTTCTCAGGGCCTTCGGTGTGCAATTTACGGTCCGCGCCTGCGCCGTCGAGGGATACTTACGGCCCGCGCCTGCGCCGTCGAGGGATATTTACGGTCCATGCCTGTGCCGTCGAGGGATGGGCCCAGGAGCTTGGATCCAGCTTTATGGGATTCCTGCCCTGAGCACCTCCTTCTCTTCAGTCTCTGTGACACTTTCTGGCTTTGGGGCCACCCCACCCCACCCTTATTCCCCCACCCTTTCTGGCTCTTTGGCTTGAAGGCCTGGGCTTTAGCTTCCCTGCTTCACCACACACTTCCTGAGACTGCAGCTGCCTCTGCGGCCAAACAAAGAGAAGATGGAACGAGAAAAAAAAGCCAATGGGAATTTCCTCCATACTTTTGGAAGCACAGATCCTCTGGTCAGAGAGAAGAGTTCTCTGTGCCTGTCCAGCTGTTGTGGTGGGTTTGCTGTAAACTAGGTACCCATTGACTGATGCCAACTATGGGATGCCTTGTGGGTCATCCAGAGGGCAGATGTGGGCCTGAAACTGAAAACTGTGATCACAGCCTGTAACCCCTTGTCACCTGCTGGAATGTAAGCTCCAGTGAGGACAGGCCTTCATTGCTTTGTTCATCGATGTATCTCCAAGTGCCTAAAACAGCGCCTGGCACATGGTAGGCACTCAGTAGGTATTTGCTGAGCTTGGTGAACTATCATTTCTGGTAATAGGAGCCTCTGCCATTTACCCTGTACAGAGGCTGTAAACCTACGAAACTCAGTGTTCCCTTTCTAGGACAAATATTTTGCAACACCTTTACTTTACTGAAATGAAATTCCAAAGGTAATATAATCTGTCCACATACCGTGTTTAAACATCAGCCTACTGTCAGTCACAGATTCGGGGTTTGCCTTACTATACTGAAATTAAATTCCAAAGGTAATGTAATCTGTCCACATACCATGTTTAAACATCAGCGTACTGTTGATCGCAGATTTGGGGTTTGCCACCCACACCAGTCATCCAGGACCAAGACCCTTCCTCCAGCTGCAGGAGTGTCGGCTGCTCACAGCTCACAGCTGAGGCCCAAGAGAGCCACATTTTTGTCCCTGGGGGGAGGGGAAGCACACATCCAGTGACCGGTCGAGTCTCCACTCCGGCATCAATTTGGGACATCTCTGAAGGCCACCCCAGGCCTAAGCCCTGAGGGACCAGCTGCATCCTCTGCTATGACTATATCACAGCTCCACTTCTCCCTCTGCCCGATCCTGTATTATCTGCCCCTCACAGGCACACAAATCTCCCTCTCAGAGTGTTTCCTGGGGAACTCGACCCAAGATGATGCCCTAAGTGTTGTACAAGAGATAAGAGGCTGGGTGTCGTGGCTCACGCCTGTAATCCCAGCACTTTGGGAGGCTGAGGCGGGCACATCACTTGAGGTCAGGCGTTTGAGACCAGTCTGGCTGACATGGTGAAACCTCGTCTCTACTAAAAATACAAAAATTAGCCCAGCATGATGGCGCATGCCTGTAATCCCAGCTACTTGGGAGGCTGGAGAATCACTTGAACCTGGGAGGCAGAGGTTGCAGTGAACCGAGATCACTCCATTGCACTCCAGCCTGGGTGGCAGAGCAAGACTCAAAAAAAAGAAAAAAAAAGGAGAGATAAGAGAAGCGTAGTTTATAATAAATGTGTTCTCTGCACACACACTTAGGCGTGACTACACTAGGACCTCATAGCATGAGTTTCTCAGGTCCCCCCTCAGACCAACTGGACAGGAGACTGCACTTTGACAAGTTCCGCAGGCATTTGTGTGCACTGGCGCGTGAGAAGCGTTTCTCTAAGATGTTACAAGGGTCAGATGCTTGTGCCTAAGTGACTGTGTGACACACGAGGGCGGACGCACGAGTCACGGCCACTCAGATACCACACGCGGCAGGTGCCGCCAGTGATAAGATTTCCACGTCGGTGAACAACTGTTGGTAAAGTGCCGAACAAAACACGTTATGAAACTTTCTCAACTTACACAGTAGTTGCATTCCCGGAAAATTCAGTTTGTCTTAAAATTGTTCGCAAGACTATTTTGTCACGTAGGATCCGTGACATTTCCTCATGGCGCATCACTGCCCCACGCATTGCAGGAGGCCGGGCCCTTCGCGCCGGTAGCCCTTGGCTCGGTGACAACTGAAAACACCCCCAGAGCTTCCCACACTGTCCACTAGGGGACATCACTGTCCTCGTTGAAACACTCCCAGAACTTCCCACACTGTCCACTAGGGGTCATCACTGTCCTCGCTGAGAACGACTGGTCCACCAGAGAGAACCCTGTGCTTGGAACTTGACATGGTATTACACGAATCCTCCTGACAAGCATAAGAAGTCTTATATTCTCTCTCTTTAGCTAAGAAAACCAAGTTCAGAGAAGTTCAGCAGTTTGTCCAGGGTCACACAGCTAGTAAGCAGGTAGCAAGCAAGATCTGGACCCAGGTCTTCCTGTCACCAAAGCCCATGTTTGCCACAACGTGTGCTTTCCAGGTGTTTGTAGGTGATCAAGAGTTGCACGGTCCCTAGGCCGTGGCCAGGTTTATTTATTTATTTATTTATTTTTATTTTTATTTATTTATATTTTCTAGATGGAATCTCGCACTATTGCTCGGACTGGAGTGCAATGGTGCAATCTCAGCTCACTGCAACCTCTGTCTCCCGCGGTTCAAGTGATTCTCCTGCCTCAGCCTCCTGAGTAGCTAGGATTACAGGCGCCTGCCACCACACCCGGCTAATTTTTTGCATTTTTTAATAGAGTAGTTTCACTATGTTGGCCAGGCTGGTCTCGAACTCCTGACCTCGTGATCCGCCCATTTCGGCCTCCCAAAGTGCTGGGATTACAGGTATGTGCCACCGTGGCTGGCCTATTTTTTATTTTTATTTTTGAGACGGAGTCTTGCTTTGTTGCCCAGGCTGAGTGAAATGGCACGATCTCAGCTCCACTGCAACCTGCGCCTCCCAAGTTCAAGTGATTCTCCTGCCTCAGCCTCCCCAGTAGCTGGGATTACAGGTGCCTGCCACCACACCTGGCTACTTTTCGTATTTTTAGTAGAGACGGGGGTTTTGCCATGTTGGCCAGGCGGGTCTCGAACTCCTGACCTCAGGTGATCCACCTGCCTCAGCCTCCCAAAGTGCTAGGATTACAGGCGTGAGCCACCGAGCCAGGCGGTGGCCCATAAGTTTTAAAAAGCTCTCCACGGAGTTGTCATGAGCACCCAGGACTGAGAGCCCCTGAGCTTCACTTGGAATTAACGTGAGCTTGAGCGAGGCTTTGCAGCACGCCGGGCTTGGCAGGTGCAGGCGGAGCGGACCGAGGCGCTGAGGCCGGGGCTGCGCTGGGAGGGGAGCGCGTCCTCCGCGGGCCGGGGTGGGGCCTCCCTGTCTGCGCGCGCCCCCTGCCGGCGGCACCCGGCCCTGCGGCTTCAGCGCGTCGGTCCCGGCTGGAGCTGAGCGTGGCTGGAGAACAAATCCACAGCCAAGTGTGCGTCCGGCTCCTCCGGGAAGCAGTCGTGAGATGGGGATTAAACTCCCCAGGGTTCTATTAGGGGAGGTGACTGTGTGAGAGAAAATAAGGAGGCAGCCAGAGGAGCTGGGAGAGCCTTCAGACGGCCATGCAAGTCTGCACCTGCGTGAAGGAACGAGGGAGGGAGCGCCCCAGACCCGCCGTGTGCCTTCCTACCCCTGCCCTCCCACCCCTGCCGCAGCCAGCCGCTGCCTGGGGCTGCCCCGGGAGGCCCGGCCTCAGCGCACACCACGCTCAGGTGTGCAGCCTTCCAAGGGCTGCAGCTGGGCCTCGGAGTGATGGGAGGTCCCTTCCTCTTCGTGGCCACCTCACCAGTGTCATGGCTAGGAACGTGGGCTTTCGTCAAGACCGCCTGGGCATACCCCACTCCCGCCTGGGTGTAGGATCGCGAACAACTTTCTCACCCTTCTCGAGCCTTGGTTTTCTCTTCCGTATCATAGACATCAAAAGAATTTGCCACAAAGAGTGGTCACAATGCTAAGTGCTTGGCATGCGGTAGAGACTCGATCATCCTTAGCTGTTGTTATTCGTGTCAGAGGCGTGTGAACCAGAGCGACTGCATCTTGAATGGGAGCTGGGTAACATGAGGCCGAAACCTACTGGGCTGCATTCCCAGATGGTGAAGGCATTCTAAGTCACAGGATGAGATAGGAGGTTGGCACAAGATACAGGTCATAAAGACCTTGCTGATAAAACAGGGTGCAGTAAAGAAACCGGCTCAATCCCACCAAAACCAAGATGGCCATGAGAGTGACCTCTGGGCGTCCTCATGGCTACACGCCCACCAGCACCATGACAGTTTACAAATGCCATGGCAACATCAGGAAGTTCCCCTACATGGTCTAGCAAGGGGAGGCATGGATAATCCACCCCTTGTTTAGCATATCAGCAAGAGAGAGCCATAAAAATGGGCAAAGCAGCCCTCAGGCCTCCATCTGTGGTGCAGCTGTTCTTTTATTCCTCTACTTTCTTAATAAACTTGCTTTCGGGCCGGGCATGGTGGCTCACGCCTGTCATCCCAGCACTTTGAGAGGCCAGGGGCTGGGGCGGGTGGTGGATCATGAGGTCAAGAGTTCGAGACCAGCCTGGCCAACATGGTGAAACCCTGTCTCTACTAAAAATACAAAAATTAGCCAGGCGTGGTGCGGGCGCCTGTAATCCCAGCTACTCGGGAGGCTGAGGCAGGTGAATGGCTTGAACCTGGGAGCCGGAGGTTGCAGTGAACCGAGATCATGCCACTGCACTCCAGCCTGGGTGACAGAGCGACTCTGTCTCGAAATAAAAACAAACAAACAAAAAAATAAACTTGCTTTCACTTTACAGACACACCCTGAATTATTTCTTGCACAAGATCCAAGAACCCTCTCTTGGGATCTAGATCGAGACCCCTTCCTTGTAACATTAGGACTCTTCAACTATTCCCATGTTATCTGAAAGAGTGTAAAGATACAGTCTATTCCAGAAGGAAATCTTTCTTGTAAATCCATCAAATATTTACATGTTCAGAGCCGCCTTCGCCCAGGATGGGGACACTGGGGATTCTTTCTGCTCTACCCTAGCTTTTCCCTCCCTCCTCCACATCCAGGGGGTCCTGGAGGCCCTTCTATCCACCCAGGACCTTGGCTCCGTCCAATCTTCCTCTTCCTGGAGCAGACGAGAAGACTTTAGGAGCCATGGAGGAGGGGAGAGGGTGAAAGAAAATGGCCCTCGGAAAGGCACAGCCACAAAACCAGCGCACCTTTCTTTTGCCATCATTGGTGGCCTCACGACTCTGGTGCACTGTTATGCTGAGAGCATCTCTATTTCCCCTCCATTTTCATAAAGATACCCCCACCCCCAGGAAGGGTGTGGGGGCCAACTCGGTGGCCTGTAGCGTTGTCCATGGATGAGCAGGAGAAGCACTGGGGAGGGTGTGGCCTGGTCCGGCTTGGAGGTGGGGGAGGCGCTGTGCAGGGCTGCTCCTGGGAGTCTGCAGAGGTGGGCACAGGGTGAACCGAAGGTGTGGTGTCCGGGGCGGGGGTGATCAGGGAGGAAGCCCCTCCTTGGTCCCAGGGAGCAAGACCCAGGCCTGAACCGAGGCACCAAGCAGGAAGTGCCAGGGTTTGTGACAGGCTGGAAAGGAGGGAAGGGGGCAGCGCAGGCCAGCCCAGGACAGCCGGGACTGCCCTCCTCCGGGCGTGTGGACAGATCAGGCATGTCACCGGTGGGGCCCCGCACCTAGCGCCAGCCCCAGCTAGACCCATCACCGGCCTGTGCCTTCTTTTCTCCCCAGGACAGGCTTGGCCGTGGTCATTCCAGAGGGGCCCAGAGGCGGTGAGACTCTGGGGCAAGTCCTTGCTCTGCAGCCTTGTCCTCCTGGTGACCCCATCATCTCTGCTGACCCATGTTCCGCAAGCCGAGTGACTAATGCACAAAACCTCCCTGGGGAGAGCAGAGACCAGGCCACACTCCGAAATGGAAACGGAGCCCAAAGGGGTGTGGCTGATAACCTGGGCAACCTCTTTCTCTGCCCATAGGTGCCAAGAGAGGAGCGAGGCCCAGGGCGGGGGAGGAAGAGGGCAAGGGTCAGAAGTGGGCAGGCAGAGGGAGTGGACACCAGACAGCTGGGGAAAGATTTCCCACTAGACAGGAAGCTCCATGAGGGCAGAGACCAGGTTTATCTCCTGTACCCACAGCCTGGCAAGTAACAGGTACACGGTAAGTACTCATGAGCCACCGCACCCGGCCCCCTTGTCTGATCTTGGTGATCTTGGTGGGGAAAATTATATACTTGCCCAGTGGGAAGATGTTTTGATCTAAAACTGCTTAATGATTTTTTTGCCACTCTCTGTCATTCGGTTCTGCCGTTTAGTTGCAGCCTAGCCTGGGAGGTCTCGTCCCACAGCCTCACTGGGGAGGCAGAGTCACCCACTGGCTATTTTTCCAGCCTCAGCAGACATCTCTATAACTGCTGTCACACTTTTGCTAATTTTACTGAAAGATGCGACAAAATCCCTGCAAACAAGTTGTGATGTGAGCTGCCTTCAGCTTCTGATACGATTCCTCCTTCGAAAACATGCACCAGCCCCCCGCATGGGACTTTGCTGGTCACTTCATATTCCACTGGAGGCCACCGCCAAGGTTTGCAGGAAGCCCGTGGGTCTTGAAGAGCTAAACTGAAAGGTTAGCCAACTCCAGAGACTGACCTCCTCGGAAGAGTCTGATCACTTTTCTCGTTTCCTGAGGAGTGGTTAGTAACATAGGCAAAGCCAGAATTTCCCATAGCTGCCTAGGGAAAGAAGGACAATTTTTGTCCTAGTTACATTTGCCAAAGCAAAACAAAATAACAAAGCATAACTCTTCTCCACTGTTCACAGCTTCCATAATCGATCTGCACGGCCAGACCTCCTGGGTCCCCTACCCTGGGCCCTGCTCCCTCACAGGCCAGGGTGTCTGTAGGAGGGCCTCCATTCTAGGTTGAGATCCAGTGCTCTCCTCTGGTCCAGGATTACTGCTATTTCCATTTATTTTTTTTTTTTAGGTAAAAAATTGTTATTCTTATTTAACCATGCTGCATATATACAACAATATCAATATATACAACTTGAACAGATACAATTTATACATAAAGTACAATGAAAGCATGCCTTTTGAAATTGATGCAGCTGACTTACTCTTCACTTTGTAATTTTGGCCAGTATACAGTATTGCAGTAATACTGCTGAAGTTATTAATTATTTAAATGAGTTAGATTACATCATAAGTTTAAGGGCACTAGAAAATCTATGTTTTCCCAGCCTGGGCAACATGGTAAAAATGCATCTCTACAAAAAATACAAAAATTGGCCTGAAGAGGTGGTGCATGCCTGTAGTCTCAGACTTGGGGGACTGAGGCAGGGGGATCGCTTGAACCTCAGGAGGTTGAAGCTGCAGTGAGTGGGGATTGCACCACTGCACTCTAGCCTGGGTGACAAAGTGAGAACAAGAAAGAAAGAAAGAGATAAAGAGAGAAAGAGAGAGAGCAAGCGAGAAAGAGGGAGGAAGGGAGGAAGGATGGAGAAAGAAAGGAAAGAAAGAAAGAAAGAGAAAGAAAGAAAGAAAAAGAGTGAGGGAGGGAGGAAGGAGAGAGAAGAAAGAAAGAACGAAAGAATGAGAAAGAAAGAAAAAGATCTATGTTTTCTTCTATTCTTCTAGGATTTTTGTTTTTGTTTTTGTTGAGACGGAGTTTCACTCTTGTTGCCCAGGCTGGAGTGTAATGGCACGATCTCGGCTCACCACAACCTCTGCCTTCCGGGTTCAAGCAATTCTCCTGCCTCAGCCTCCCAAGTAGCTGGGATTACAGGCATGCACCACCACGCCCGGCTAATTTCGTAATTGTAGTAGAGACGGGGTTTCACCATGTTGTTCAGGCTGGTCTTGAACTCCTGACCTCAGGTGATCCACCTACCTCGGCCCCCCAAAGTGCTGGGATTACAGGCATGAGCCACTGTGCCCGGCCTCTCCTAGTATTTTTAAGAACAAGGAATAATTAAAAAGAAAACAAATGTGTACATTAGGAAATTGAGCAGACACTGGCTTACTTAAACGTAAACTCTGCCCATTCTTTAATTCACAGCCCTGCAGGAAAGAGGACTTTCCTTGAGATTAAAGTGAAGGGGAAGGATATTAAAAACAGACTAAAAAGAAACAGAAGCAAAGCAAAAAGAAAAAAAAAACAAAAAACCCAAAGCATAATCATGGTTTTAAAAATATGTTACAGATGAAGTAGCACCGCCCCCTACCACAAAGTCACCTGAAATTTTTGCTGCAAAAAAATTCCCCTTTCTCCAGAAAGTGAATGAAATAGCATATGGAATGGATTCCATTCATGGGGCAAGTGTGTGATGCAACCTCCTCGCCTTATTACATTTCTACTTTATAATAATCTAAACACAAACAGAGAATACGATTACATTTTAACACCCTAACTATTGGTATAGGCAACATAAGGATTCTTAAAGAACACACTATAAACCAGTAACTCTACCAAGCCTCCTTTTTTAGTAGAGACGGGGTTTCACGATGTTGGCCAGGCTGGTCTCGAGCTCTTGACCTCGAGATCCTCCTACCTCGGCCTCCCACAGTGCTGGGATTACAGGTGTGAGCCGCTGCGCCCGGCCCAAACTTTCTTTAAGATCTCGGTCTTTCCCTGTGGTTCCTCTTGCAAACTGGTCTATTTTCCTTCAGTTTCCAAGCCTTCTTACCTTTTTCCCTCAAGTTCTCTGCAAAGTTGCTCTGCTCTTTTCCTCCTTTCTTCCAGCTCTGTATGAGATTCTTCAAGAAGTTTCTCTCGTTCCTCGGCTTTGGCCAACAAATCAACGCCACCAACAATTACCTTCTTCTCCAGGGCAGAGAACTTTTCTGGCAAAGACTGATGCTCTTGTTGGGTTTTAAGATCTTTTTTCCTGTTTCTCGAATTTAGCTGCAGCCTTGTTTCTTCTTCCACGTCAAGCTTTGTTTCAAGTGCCTTTCTCTCCGCATCCGCTGTCGCCGGCGTTTCAACCGTCCTCTCTGGGAAGACTTTATTTCCCCCTTTTTTCCTTTTCTCTTCATCTTCTCCAATCTTACCCTCTTCATTGTCATCTCCGTCCGACCCACTGACATCACAGCCTGATATTTCTTCCCCTTCTGTGAGCTTCTTTTTCAGGTCTTCTATTTCTTTCTGAAATTGATGAAGCAAAGCATCCTTCAGATCTTCATTAAATCTAGCTTTATTTTTAATACTTTTTTTTGGAGACAGTCTTGCTTGGTTGCCTAGGCTGGAGTGCAGTGGCGCGATATCAGCTCACTCCAACCTCCACCTCCTGGGTTCTAAGCCATCCACCTGCCTCAGCCTCCCGAGTAGCTGGGATGACAGGTGCCCACCACCACGCCTGGCTAATTTTGTATTTTTAGTAAAGACGGGGTTTCACCATGTTGGTCAGGCTGGTCTCCAGCTCCTGACCTTGTGATCCACCCCTCTCGGCCTTCCAGAGTGCTGGGATTACAGGCAAGAGCCACCACGCCCGGCCCCATGGAATGATTTTTAAACTACTGAACTATAAAATGATTTTTTATTTATTGATTGATTGGCATCGTGACCCCCTCCCGTGCTAGGCAGACCACCCTGCTCGGGTGCAGCCCGGTGACGCCGGGCACGTGGAAGAGCTTGCCAGGGACTCCGTGCGCAGACGCCTGTTTCCCACCAGCTGTGTATTTTTGGGACAGGGTCTGACTCTGTTCCCCAGGCTGGAGTGCAGTGCCGCGATCTTGGCTCACTGTAACCTTCAACTCCTGGGCTCAAGCAGTCTTCCCAGGTCAGCCTCCAAACCCACTAGTTTGTTTGTTTGTTTGAGACGGAGTCTTACTCTGTCGCCAGGCTGGAGTGCAGTGGCACGATCTCAGCTCACTGTAACCTCTGCCTCCCTGCCTCAGCCTCCCGAGTAGCTGGGACTACAGGCGCCCACCACCATGCCCAGATAATTTTTTGTATTTTTAGTAGAGACGGGGTTTTGCCATGTTGGCCAGGCTGGTCTTGATCTCTTGACCTCGTGATCTGCCCACCTCGGCCTCCCAAAGTGCTGGGATTGCAGGTGTGAGCCACCATGCCCAGTCTGTTTTTTTAACATTTTAAAAGGAGAGGATAAAGAAAAACAACAGGCCGAGTGCGGTGGCTCACGCCTGTAATCCCAGCACTTTGAGAGGCCGAGGCAGGCGGATGACCTGAGGTCAGGAGTTCGAGACCAGCCTGCCCAACATGATGAAACCCCGTCCCTACTAAAAATACAAAAAATTAGCTGGGCGTGGTGGCAGGCGTCTGTAGTCCCAGCTGCTTGGGGGGCTGAGGCAGGAAAATCGCTTGAACCAGGGAGGTGAGGTTGCAGTGAGCAGAGATCATGTCACTGCACTGCAGCCTGGGGGACAGAGCGAGACTTCATTAAAAAAAAAAAAAAAAAAGAAAAGGAACAAATTATAGGGAAAGGAAAATATTTGCAACAAATCTGACAAAAGTGTCCCTATCAGTATCAGTATTTAATGAAAACACTCACCTAGATTGATAAGAAAAATACTAAGATCCTAACTGGATGGACTTGTTTAGACAATTCACTATGAGAACACACACACACACGCACAGGAAAAATAGCTATTTAACTCTCAAAAGTGGTAAAAAAAAATACATTAAAATACATGGCATGATTCTTTTTTTTTTAGACAGAGTCTTGCTCTTGCCACCCAAGCTGGAGTGCGATGGCTTGATCTCGGCTCCCTGCAACCTTTGCCTCCTGGGTTCAAGCGATTCTCCTGCCTCAGTCTCCTGAGTAGTTGGGATTACAGGCGCCCGCCACCACGCCCGGCTGATTTTTGTATTTTTAGTAGAGACGGGGTTTCACCATGTTGGCCAAGTTGGTCTTGAACTCCTGACCTCAAGTGATCCGCCCACCTCGGCCTCCCGAAGTGCTGAGATTATAGGCATGAGCCACCATGCCTGGCCCCATGGAATGATTTTTAAACTACTGAACTATAAAATGATTTTTAAAAATACTTCCCAGTGCTTGCAAAGATTTGGTGAAAGTGGCACTTTCATACATTTCTAGGTGCAATTTTTTTTTTTTTTTTTTTGAGACAGGGTCTCACTCTGTCACCCAGGCTGGAGTGCAGTGGTGCCATCATGGCTCACTACAACCTCCACCTCCAGGGCTCAAGCCATCCTCCCACCTCAGCCTCCTGAGTAGCTGGGACTACAGGCACTTGCCACGATGTCCGGCTAATTTTTTTGTAGAGACGGGGTTTCACCATGTTGCCCCAGGCTGGTCTCGAACACCTGGGCTCAAGCAATCTGCCCACCTCTGCCTCCCAAAGGGCTAGGATTACAGGTGTGAGTCACTGTGCCCAATTGAGGTGCAAATTTTTGAAAAGTAATTTGGTAATGTGTGTTAAGAGCCACCAAGGATTTCTACACATTGATGCAGTAATACTACTTCTGGGAATCTATCCTAAGGAAATACTAAAAGAGAGGGAAAAGCTGTAGGCATAGTTTCCATGGCAAATATTTAGAGTAGTGAAACCAGCAAACCAAGCAAAAACAATCTATCTAAATATTCAACAATAAGGGAAAAGTTGGCTGGGTGCGGTGGCCCACACCTGTAATCCTAGCACTTTGAGAGGCTGAGGCGGGCGGATCACCTGAGGTTGGGAGTTCGAGACCAGCCTGACCAACATGGAGAAACCCCCGTCTCTACCAAAAAAAGTACAAAATTAGCTGGGCGTGATGGCGCATGCCTGTAATCCCAGCTACTCTGGAGGCTGAGGCAGGAGAATCGCTTGAACCCAGGAGCTGGAGGTTGCAGTGAGCCGAGATTGCGCCATTGCATTCCAGCCTGGGCAACAAGAGCTGTCTAAAAAATAATAATAATAAGGGAAAAGTTTGTTAAATTATGGTATAACTACTTGATGAAGCTCTTCCCTTAAAATTATAGATACATAGTAATATTAAACATGCTTAATATAGTAAGTAAAACAACAGACTAAAAAGTTGTATCTACAGTGTGGTTTCAGCTATATTAAAATATATATGTAGATGAGAAAATTAGGAGCAAAAAATTATTAAGTTTAACTATGGAGAAGGAGGGTTATATGTGATTTTCTAATATATGTGATTTTATTTTATTATTTCTTTCTTTCTTTCTTTTTCTTTTTCTTTTTTTTTTTTTTTTTTTTGAGATGAAGTCTCGCTCTTGTCCCCCAGGCTGGAGTGCGATGGCTCAATCTCGGCTCACTGCAACCTCTGCCTCCCAGGTTCAAGCGATTCTCCTGCCTCGGCCTCCTGAGTAGCTGGGATTACAGGCGCCTGACACCACGCCTGGCTAATTTTTGTATTTTTAGTACAGATGGGGTTTCACCATGTTGGCCAGGCTGGTCTCGAACTCCTGACCTCAGGGGATCCGCCCACCTTGGCCTCCCAAAGTGCTGGGATTACAGGCTTGAGCCACCGTGCCCGGCCTATTTTTTTTTGAGATGGAGTCTTGCTCTGTCACCCAGGCTGAAGTGCAGTGGTGTGATCTTGGTTCACTGCAACCTCCGCCTCCCAGGTTCAAGCAATTCTTCTGCCTCAGCCTCTGGAGTAGCTAGGATTACAGGCACGTGCCACCATGTCCAGCTAATTTTTGTATTTTTTGGCAGAGACGGGGTTTCGCCATGTTGGCCAGGCTGGTCTTGAACTCCTGACCTCAAGTGATCCACCCACCTCAGCCTCCCAAAGTGCTGGAATTATGGGCGTGAGCCACTGCACCTAGCCCTAATATATGTAATTTAATTATAAATTAAATATAAATTTAATTATAAATTAAGTGTATATATAAATATATACATTTAATTATAAATTAAATATATAAAAATATATACATTTAATTATAAATTAAATATATACATTTAATTATAAATTAAATATATAAAAATATATACATTTAATTATAAATTAAATATATAAAAATATATACATTTAATTATAAATTAAATATATAAAAATATATACATTTAATTATAAATTAAATATAATTAATATATGTGATTTTCTAATGTCAGATTTTAAAAAACATTTGTATATTGCTTTTTTTTAAAGTAAGAATGGGAAGAATGGAGAAAGCGCGTGCATGTGTCTCCCAGCTGCAGGTATTTTGGACATTTCCACCCCTGCCTCATGCCGGCAGTCCTGCACTCAGCCTCAGTCCTGCAATCCTGCATACAGTGTGTGGGCTCTGGGCCCCAGCTCCTCCCCAGGAGGAGGGGAGCAGACAGGGGAAGCAGCTCCTGACAGGGAGGGCAGATGAGGGCAGGGGAGAGGACAGTGTGTCCTGGCCCTTTCGTCCACCACTGGGCTCCTCCTCCACCTATTCCGGTCCTACCAGCCTTCAATATCCACTCGCATCTGAAGATCTGATTGATTGGCCAGCGTCACTCCTGCTCATGCCCTCCAGATGGGAACCCGACAAGGCAGGGAGCCAGGGTCAGGCCCAGAAACCTTCCTGGAACTTCAGCGTCCAGCCAACCAACTGCAGTGATGAACTAACAGTCCACCCAGGGCTGGCCGGGGCCGCTTGGAGGACCAGATCTCTCCCGCTGAAGGGCGAGGGGAGGAGGGAGACAGCTGGATGTTTGCTTCATCTCCGTCTGCCAGAGACCCCTTTCCTTTCTTGGCCTGCCTAATTTCTACCATCTTGAAAAACTCCGCGGAGGGGCCACCTGCTGCGTGACGCCTTCCTCAATACCTGCCTCCCTCCAGGGCCGGCTCCCGCTGGGGACACCGGCACGACAGAGACAGGCTGCAGCTTAGCAAACATGAGCTGATGGAAAAGAAAATTACTTGTTTGTGACTTCCTTGGTCTCACTTCTCCCTGAGCCCCAAATCCTCTGCACCACCCATGCTGTCTTTCAAAGAACAGCTCCTCTTTTTCTGCATCTGTTGAAATCAAGAAACAGAAATAAAGAACAGCTTCCTCGGCCCACTTAGGGAGCATGGGGAGGGGAGCAGTGTGCTGCTGCGTGAAATACTCGTTTGTTGTTTGAAGCCACTCAGTTTTGGAGTCATTTGTTAGGCAGCAGCAGATGACTGACAGACCCTCCTCCTTTCATGGGTGTTCTCTCAATACATCTTTTCATTCACTTCTAATCCTGTCATGCCTTCAGCTTTTCAGACTGAAAAAACACAGGTGTAAACATAATAGTCAAAACAACCAGCTCTTACTGAACACCCACCTGTGGGACACACCTTCTAATCACGTACAGTTTGAGTTAATCCTGCAGCCACCCTGTGAGAGACTCCTGTGGTTCCCATTTTACAGACGGGGAAACACACACAGATGTTAACTCATTTGAATGTGGAGAGAGAAGTTAGAACGGCAGAAACAGCTGTGGTCACTGCAGGGGTTCTTGTTTCGGCTCTGCTGTGTGGCTCTGGACAAGCCATTTCACGCCTCCAGACCTCAGTTTATTTTTATTTATTTATTATTTTTATTTTTACTTATTATTTTTTGAGACAGAGTCTTACTCTGTCACCCAGGCTGGAGGGCAGTGGTGATCTCGTCTCACTGCAACCTCCGTCTCCTGGATTCAAGTGATTCTCTTGCCTCAGCCTCCCGAGTAGCTGGGATTACAGGCATGTGCCACCACACCCAGCTAATTTTTGTATTTTTAGTAGAGACGAGGTTTCACCATGTTGGCCAGGCTGGTCTCAAACTCCTGACCTCAGGCGGTCTGCCCGCTTCAGCCTCCCAAAGTGCTGGGATTACAGGTGTGAGCCACTGTGCCTGGCCCAGACCTGAGTTTCTTCATGTTTCTAAAGCAGTATACATAACTACACACTACATCACTGGACCCTGAGGTCCCTTTTATGATGGTAACAAGGATAACAATAAGGTATCACTAGGATTCCGAGAGTTAGACTCGTAAAACCAACATAGACCAATGGACCAGATCACACACAGATCCATATGTACGTGTGTGTGTGTGTGTGTGTGTGTATACAAACATACAACACAAATGCCAACTGGAGTCATTCTTTCCATGGGGCCTAGACATAAGAATGGATCAAGCCCGTTCCGCCTCCCTCGTCAAGTACAAGGTTCTCCCAAGACCCCAAGAATCCTTCGGTGGGGGTGACGCTCTTGTGCCACCTCCGGCTCCCAAGTCCCGAGACCCCGAGAATCTTTTGATGCGGGTGACGCTCTCGTGCCGCCTCCGGCTCCCAAGTCCCGAGACCCCGAGAATCTTTTGATGCGGGTGACGCTCTCGTGCCGCCTCCGGCTCCCAAGTCCCGAGACCCCGAGAATCCTTTGGTGCGGGTGACGCTCTCGTGCCGCCTCCGGCTCCCATGTCCTGCCTGTGGCTTCTTGGGCTGCACATCCCACAAGGCATTTCTGCTTCGTCCTCTGTCCCTGCGTCAATCCCAGTGTGAGATGTGGCGTTTCTCTTTGATTTCTGCCCCCATGCCCCATCTCCGTGAGGCACCCGCCTGCTGGAGAGCTCTGACTGTGATCTCCAGGCCACTGGCCATGCTGCATGGCCAGCTGCTGCCTGTCGCCAAGAGGCAGGCAGTCTCTCCCCCAACCCGCAACCCTGCTGCCCCCCAACGGAGCCTCCCCCTCCTGCTACTGCATGGATTACCGGATAAAATACAGGATCTTCAGCCACATTGAATTTCACATAAATGACAAATCTTCTTTAGTATAAGGGTTCCCAAATCTTGTATGTGATTATAATACTTAAAAAAATCATCTACTGTTTATATGAAAGTAACATTTAACTGGATATTCTCTATTTTTATTTGCTAGATCTGGCTTTGTCTTCCTTTCCAAGGCTCTCCTCACCCCTCCCTCCCAGATCATCCCTGACCCTGCAGATCTTGGCCACTCTATAAACTGGAGCAATTCTGGTTTCCCCACACCTCACCCCAAAACTCAGCCCAGGTCCATGCCTCTGTGTCTAAATCCCTTGAGGACATCTGCTCCTTTATTAGTTCAGGGCACCCACAGTTTATGTTTTTGTGTTTAATCCCTGTAACCTGTTCCTTTTGTCCCTGTGTTGCTGGTGTGGTATTTCTGTTGCACAGAAAGGCCTCCCCGGCTGACATCAGGGTGGAGCAGGCCCTCAGTGCCTAGGCAGCATCAGTGACATGGATCGAGAAAGGATGTACCTGAAAAGCCGGTCAAAGGAGAACAAGAAGGGGGCATCCTGGGAGGCTGCTCCCAGGAAAAAGCCTGGTGGGAGGGCAGGGGCCTTGGACACGGGGACCCAGCTCCCCACCTCCCCACCTCAGAGAGGCCTGGGAAATCATTCCTGGCAGTAGCCTGGCCTTGCCCGTCGGACAGTATTAGGGAGGGTGAGGGAAAACACTTCGTGGTCAGGTCAGTTTGGAAAACTTCCTGTAAGGTGGTGTTTGTTTCAGAGCTTTGATGAGGCCGATGCACAGTGCGAATTTCCAGAAGCGGGTGAGCGCAGCCTTCTGCAAGCTTCATTATCCACGGTGTCTTTTTTTTTTTTCTTTTTTTGGAAAGCTGTTCATGCAAGAATGCTCTGTTTTGGGAAATGCAGTCTCACACCCTCCTCTCCCCTAATCCTGTTTCTAGGCTCGTCAAGCTTTCCAATTTGAGTCTTCAGCTATCCAGAAGCTGTGAAGGGGCAGCCCCGTCACCAGACACAATCCTTGCAAAGGGACAGCCTCCATCAGCCTCCATGGAAGACTGACAGACCCACACAGGGGAGAATAAATCAACCTGCAAATGAAGCATTCAGCCAGCTTGGGAGTTCTGCTTTCCATTTTAAATTAATACACCGGCCTTCTGGTTTGTACATCGGTTGTCCTCCCGTGGGTCTGGCTGGTAGGCATTGGTTTCTGAGGGGCTGGCTGTGTCTGGGGCAAGGTGGAGACCTCAATCCTGGGCTGCCGGGATGGGCCAAAGTGACCTTCGATGGAGCATCTCCCAACCCTAGAATTACAGGGATTTATGAAATGTGGACCTTTCCTGAATGTTAAATTTGCTGAGGGCCAAAGGGGTCAACCATCTCAGCAATGGGCAGGGGCCAGAGGTGCACGAGGGAGGAGAGAAGTGAGGAGAAGAAGAGCGATGGATCGGGGTACAGGCGATCAGGCACGGGCAGGCAGGACAGGGGCCTGATGCGGGAGGGCGGTGGTGGGGACGGTGTAGGGAACAGGAGGTGGGAGGAAGCAGGCTGCCATGCAAGCTCACCCCAGGAGAACCAACCGGGAGGAGGGGGTTCCCTGTCCGGGAGGGCTGAGAGATGGCCGAGGCTCTGCTGCAGCCCTGGTGGAGGCCATCCCTGGGAGAGCCTCCGTCTGAGCTCTGGCTCTTGGGGAGGAAGGGCCAGCTGCCAGTGAGGGCCCTGCTGGGCTTCTGGGTGGCGGCAGGAAAGCTCTGGGAACCCGGGACTCAGAGCCTCCTGGGCCTTATCTTCCTGTTTGGACGTTACTTTCAATGGCCACTGCTCTGGTCCTGCTGGCCCGTCCTGGGTGTGAAAGGAGAAAGAGGCTCCTTGTGGGCCTGTGGAGAAGGGTGAGACCCCTTTCTAGAGGACCTCCTCGGCCTCCACTTCTGCCAGGACATCCATGACGGCCGATTCCATTTCCCCTGCCTGGCGCACCTGAGCTCACGGCTGCCCATTCTTCTGCTAGTAGACGGAGCTGGGACAGGCCTGCCACTCCCTGCACCCCCCTAACCCCCACACGTCCTGGCCCTGTCCCTGGATGCCGTCAGGGCCTGTTCCCCACTCAGTTCTCAGAGCAACCCGGAATGAAACTGTATTTGAAACATCCCCTTACTTCCTTGTTCCTCTTGGCACCCGATCACCTCGGTCCCAGCCCCAAAACTCTCATTGTGCCAGCATCCTCTGGAATCAGAGACCCACCCATGCGGAATCAGAGACCCACCCATGCGGAATCAGAGACCCACCCAGGCAGACTCAGAGTCCGACAGTGTCAGAGCTGAACTGGGTAGTGACCAACTAGCTCAACCTCATTTCACAGACGAGGAAACTGAGTCGCAGGGTGGGGAGGAGCCAGCAAAGGCGGCACGGCAGTGAGACCATCCCCATTTGGGGACCTCCGTGACCTCCCCGAACTGAACAGCACCCATGACAGAGGGCTCCTCTATCCAAATCCAAAGGCCAAGTCCTCCAGTCTCCAAGTGGTCGACGACAGCAGGGGCCATGCTGCCCCATGACCTCTGTGTGTGCCAGGACCACCCAGCCTCCTTGGCTGCCCAGTGGCGAGTCCAGCTCAACCTCCTCCCGGGGCCCCAGCACCCCCGGCACATTTTCTGACTTTACATAGGTCATCGGGTAAATGGTGTCACCTGCATGAGCCTCAGTGTATCCATCTGGGAAAGGGGAAGAACCTCCCAGCAGGCTCTTCTCACAGTGGTATTGCAAAGCGAAAATGAGATTCGGATGCAGACACACGTGGGGAGGGAGCCTGTGAGGCCTCTGCTAAGGCGAAAACCCATAACACACACGACTGGCTCTGCTCAGGCCATCGGCTCTGGGGCCGCCTCGTCCCATGTGGGCTCTGGCTTTGCTGACACCGTTCCCTCATCTGGAGGCTCTTCCTCTGACCCTCAGTGGACCCACTTGACAGATGGTCTGATGTGCCTTCTTCCTTTAAGGAAGACATGGTGTCCTTCTGGTTTTGGAATCAGACCGAGCTGGGTTCAAATCCTGTCTGCTGAATGGTTTTGGTCGCAATGGCTTCTGCTTTCTTAGAAAAAGTCCCAGATTCAGCCGGGTGAGGTGGCTCACACCTGTAATCCCAGCACTTTGGGAGGTCGAGGCAGGTGGATCATGAGGTCAGGAGTTCAAGACCAGCCTGGCCAACATGGCGAAACCCTGTCTCTACTAAAAACACAAAAAATTAGCTGGGTGTGGTGGCATGTGCCTGTAATCCCAGCTATTCGGAAGGCTGAGACAGAGAATTGCTTGAACCCAGGAGGTGGAGGCTGCAGTGAGCTGAGATCGCACCACTGCATTCCAGCCTAGGCCACAGAGCAAGACTCCGTCTCAAAAAAAAAAAAAAAAAAAGGGAAAGTCCCAGATCCTTCAGATGGCCAATAACACCCTTGAAATGTCGTCATCCGGCCATTTGCCTCGGCACCACTTGGGGAAACAGGTCCCAGGGAAGACTCACAGACTGAGGCTCCAGGGAGGGCATGGCCGGCCCCAGAGCCTGCACTGAAATCAGCTTCCTCAGGACATTCTGATGCTCACAGAGCTCGGAAACCCAAAGAACCTGCCTCCTGCCCCGCTGTGTAAGCCCACCTCACTCATCCCGCTCCCTCTGCCCCAATCCCCCCGTGTAAGCCCAGCTCACTCATCCCACTCCTGCTGCCCCAATCCCCCCGTGTAAGCCCAGCTCACTCATCCCACTCCCTCTGCCCAATCCCCCGCTGTGTAAGCCCAGCTCAGTCATCCCACTCCCTCTGCCCCAATCCCCCCCGTGTAAGCCCACCACACTCATCCCGCTCCCTCTGCTCCAATCTCCCCCTGTGTAAGCCCACCTCACTCATCCTGCTCCCTCTGCTCCAATCCCCCTCTGTGTAAGCCCAGCTCACTCATCCCACTCCCTCTGCCCCAATCCCCCGCTGTGTAAGCCCAGCTCAGTCATCCCGCTCCCTCTGCCCTAATCCCCCGCTGTGTAAGCCCACCTCACTCATCCCGCTCCCTCTGCTCCAATCCCCCTGGACTTCTTTCAGATCCTAGGATGGGCAAAGTGTCTCTCTACCTCAGGGCCTTAGCACAGGCCATCCTCGGCCCACAGCAGTGGTGCCAGCCTCTGCCTGGCTAACCTCACCCTCCTCCACTGGCCCCTGGTCAGGCATCCCTCTGCCAGCCTCTCACTGCCAGCTAAAGTCGGTACCCTGCTGTATGTCCCTAGAGTGTCTCTGCTTTCCCTTCATAATGCTTATGGCAGTTATAATTATTTGCTGGCCTTTGTGTTTATTATCTGCTTCCAGACCAGGCTGATGAGAGCAGAGACACCAGCCTTCCTCCCCACTGCCTTTATCTCTGCTTCTAGCTTCACCCCTGGCACAGATAGGCACTTAATAGACATTGTTTCAACAAAAAATGAACCTTTCAGTTTAATTTTCTCATTTGTAAAACAGGGTGTTAACATCTACTTTTTAAAGATTCAGGCCAGGCACAGTGGCTGACATCTGCAATCCCAGCACTTTGGGAGGCCGAAGCAGGTAGATCACCTGAGGTCAGGAGTTCAAGACCAGCCTGACCAACATGGAGAAACCCTGTCTCTACCAAAAATACAAAATTAGCCACTTGTGGTGGCGCATGCCTGTAATCCCAGCTACTCGGGAGGCTGAGGCAGGAGAATCGCTTGAACCTGGGAGGCGAAGGTTGCAGTGAGCCGAGATTGTGCCATTGCACTCCAGCCTGGGTGACGGAGCGAGACTCTGTCACAAATATAAATAAATAAATAAATATTCAATGAGTAGAGATTACTTGTATATATATTTACCTGCTGTAATTTTTTAAAAATTATTTTTAATTGACAGAGATGATCTGTATTTCTGTGTACAGCATGGTGGGTTTTCTCAAATTTTTTTAACTTTGTGTGTGTGTGTGTGTGTGGTAGACACGGGGCCTCACTATGTTACCCAGGCTGGTCTTGAACTCTTGGCTTCAAGCAGTCCTCCCACCTCCACCTCCCAAAGTGTTGGGATTACAGGCGTGAGCCACCACGCCGGCCAGCATGGTGTTTTGATAGATGTATACATTGTAAAATGACTACATCAAGCTAGTGAACGCAGCGTTACCTTACAAATGTGTGATTGTGTGTGGCGAGAACACTTTGAATCTGCCCCGTCAGCCATTTTCAAGTGCATGATACATTCACCACAGTCACCATGGCGTGCAGTAGTTTCGAAGGATGTTTCAAACGAGAACACTTTTTTTTTTTTTTTTGAGACGGAGTCTCGCTCTGTCGCCCAGGCTGGAGTGCAGTGGTGCCATCTCGGCTCACTGCAAGCTCCGCCTCCCGGGTTCACGCCATTCTCCTGCCTCAACCTCCCGAGTAGCTGGGACTACAGGCGCCCGCCACCACGCCCGGCTAATTTTTTGTATTTTTAGTAGAGACGGGGTTTCACCGTGTTAGCCAGGGATGGTCTCGATCTCCTGACCTCGTGATCCGCCCGCCTCGGCCTCCCAAAGTGCTGGGATTATAGTTGTGAGCCACCGCGCCCGGCCTCGAACGAGAACACTTTGAATCTACCCTGTCAGCCATCTTCGAGTGCATGATACGTTCACCATCGTCACCATGGTGTGCAGTAGTTTCGAAGGATAAGTTTCGAACGTATCCTTCCAGTTTAACTGAAGTTTTGTGTCCTCTGACCAACGTCTCCCCAATCCCTCCATCTTCAGCTTCCAGTGACCACCTTTTGACTCTGTTCCTGCTGAGTGTGACTTTTTAACATTCCGCATATAACTGAGAACATGCATTATTTATCTTCTATGGGTGGCTTATTCCTTTTCACATAATGTTGGCCAGAGTTATCCATGTTGTCACAGAACAGAATTTCCTTTTTTAAAAGGTACGTAGTATTCCATCATATATCTATACCATGTTTTCTTTATCCATTTATTCGTTGATAGACAGGTTGATTCCATATCTTGGCTATTGTGAATATTACTGCAGTGAACACTGGAGTGCAGACATCTCTTTGACATACTGATTTTAGTTTATTATTTTTCTATCGCTGCTGAACAAATCAATGTGGTTTTTGTTGTTGTTGTTTGTTTGTTTGTTTTGAGACAGAGTCTTGCTCTGTTGCCCAGGTTGGAGTGCAGAGGCGCGATCTCGGCTCACTGCAAGCTCCGCCTCCCGGGTTCACACCATTCTCCTGCCTCAGCCTCCCAAGTAGCTGGGACCACAGGCACCCGCAACCACGCCTGGCTAATTTTTTGTAGTTTTAGTAGAGACGGGGTTTCACTGTGTTAGCCAGGACGGTCTTGATCTGCCGACCTCATGATCCGCCCGCCTCGGCCTCCCAAACTGCTGGGATTACAGGTGTGAGCCACCGTGCCTGGCCTGTTTTATTTTATTTTTAGACAGAATCTTGTCTGTCACCTACGCAGAAATGCAATGGTGTGATCATAGCTCACTGCCGCCTCGAACTCCTGGGCTCAAGTGATCCTCCCACCTCAGCCTCCCGAGTAGCTGGGACCACAGGCATGAACTACCACACCTGGCTAATTTTTAAAATTTTTTGTAGAGACAGGGTCTCGCTATGTTGCCTAGGCTGGTCTCAAACTCCTGGGCTCAAGCAATCTTCCTGTGTTGTCCTCCCAAAGGGCTGGGATTCCAGGTGTGAGCCACTGCACCCAGCCGGCCACTGCACCCAGCCGACCACTGCACCCAGCCGGCCACTGCACCCAGCCGACCACTGCACCCAGCCGGCCACTGCACCCAGCCGGCCACTGCACCCAGCCGACCACTGCACCCAGCCGGCCACTGCTTTTATATACTTTGGATATCCACCATGCAGTGGAATTGCTGGATCCTATGGTAGTTCTATTTTTAATTTTTTGAGGAACCTTCAAACTTTGCCATAATGGCTGGTACTAATTCACGTTCCCGGCTGTATACAAGGGTTCCCTTTTCCCCACATCCTCCCCAACACTTACTATCTTTCGTCTTTTTGTGAAAACCATTCTAACAGGAGTGAGGTGATGTCTCATTGTGGTTTTAATTTGCATTTCCCTGAGGGTTAGTGATATGGAGCATTTTTTCATACACCTGTTGGCCTTTGTATGTCTTCTTCTGAAAAATGTCCGTTCAAGTCCTTTACACATTTTAAAATTGAATTACTTGTCTTCTTGCTATAGAGTTGTTTGCATTCCTTATGTATTTTGGAAATTAATCTCTTATCAGAAGTATAAGATTACTTATAAGAAGTAATCTCTTATCAGAAGATAAGAAATTAATCTCTTATCAGCCACCGGTGTGAAAGGCGCTGACAGAGTTCAACAGTTAGTAGCAAGTCCATTCTCTCAAGTGGTCATTCCGGCCGCTGGCCCTCAGGAGTCCTTGAAGCCTGGACGGGGCCCAGCCGGGGGTCAGAGGTCTACACCTTCCCAGGCTGCCTGCTGGAGAAACATGCCCTGACTGGGAGCCGGCCCAGAGGAGCTGGAGGGCGGGCGGCAGGTCGTGGCCGTGCAGTTGAGGCTGGCTGGCTTCTCTCGGCTCACGGCCAGAATGAGTATCAGTCCCGTCGGACCCCAGCCAGCCCTCATGGGGAGCACAGCTTCGTTGTGACAAAGATGACCTGGGCCAACTTGCCTCACCCCACCCAATGGGGGGCTCCTCAAGGCAGGGGGCTGGGCCTTTTTTGTCCTTTGGGTGACTCCCCTACACCCAGCGCAGTGCCAAGAACACGGCCAGTGCTTGCTTAATGATCTTCAAATGAACCTATGGGTTAATAAATGAGCAACATGGCCTGGCTTAGTGCCTTGGTCCTAGGATGGGGATCATATTTGAATGGACCAGGCGGCCTGGATGTGGGGAGGGTGTCCTTAGAAAAGGAAGTGGCTCAAAACTTCGTGCTGGAGGGTGGTTAAGGAGCTGGGGATGGGATGGGGAGGCAAGCCTGGACTTGGGGGTGACACGGTGGCTGCCTTCCAACATCTAAGCTGCTGCCCCAGAGAGGGGGTGCGGGGAGCTGGCTGGGCACGATGAGGAACCAACGCTTGTTAAATATAATAATAATAAAAATGCCTAACAGTTTGTATTGTCAAGAAACATCATAAAGATCGGGAGTTCTCAAGTTCCCTATTACGAGAAGGGCGCAGCCAGGGCTGGGCAGGGCTTGGCAGGGGCTACAGTAAGGCTTGGTGTGGGCTACTGTAGGGCTTGGCAGGGGCTACTATAGAGTCATATTGCACAACTTTTTTTTTAACTACAACTCACATAAAAATACATTTCTGCCTGGGACACGGTGGCTCATGCCTGTAATCCCAGCACTTTGGGAGGCCGAGGCGGGTGGATTGCTTGCGGTCAGGAGCCCAAGACCAGCCTGGGTAACCTAGTAAGACTCTGTCTCTACACAAAAAAATTTTTTTAATTAGTTGGGCATGATGGCACATACCTGTGGTCCCAGCTACTCAGGAGGCTGAGGTGGGAGGATCACTTGAGCCCGGTGGTTGAGTGACCTGTGATCGCACCACTGCATTCCAGCCTGGCCAACAGAGCAAGACACTGTCTCAACAAAGGAAAAAGATTCGTAACGCAGTTCTCTACACATGCAGACACACAGCTTTTTGCAGTGCCCGGTGCCTGGCACAAGTCCAGGGAAGGCTTCAAGCCGGCTGGCCCTGGGGGTCCTTTCGGCCTGGCGTTCTCTGCAGGCCCCGCTCCTTCCTGCCTCCTTCCTCCCTGGATTCCTCTTGTCCCTTTACCAGCAGCGGCCGTCTTCTCAAGCAAGTCAGGCTTCTGTTAACACTAACCGGAGAAAAACTCAATTTGGAAGATACAGCTTCATTTTAAAAACCCACAAGATTTTTGTATTATAAAATAATACTTCGTGTTGAAAAGATCGACAAGCAAAATGAACAAAATGAAAGTTACCCCTAATCCTAGCACTCAGAGAATGCCAATGTTACACTTTAGTACATTTCATTCTGGGCTTTTTTTCATGTTATGTAGCTTTTTAAAAAAGTTGGGATCATACTGCATAAGCCATTTGATAAACGTGTCACTTCACACTGTTTTATTACCTGTCACCCGATTGCTATATACAGTAGATCTTTGAACAACGTGGGTTTGAACGGGGCAGGTCACTTACACACAGATTTTCTTCCACCTCTGCCATTCCTGAGACAGCAGGACCAACCCCTGACCCTCCTCCTCCTCCTCAGTTGGCTCAGTGTGAAGTCGGCGAGAATGAAGACCTTCGTGATGATCCACTTCCACATAATGAATAATAAATATATTCTCTCTTTCTTATAATTTTCCTAACAACAGTTCCTCCTCTCTAGCTTACTTTACTGTAATAATACAGGATATAATACATAGACCAAGTATGTGTTAATTAACTGTTTATGTCATCAGCAAGGTTTCTGGTCAACAGTAGACTATTAGTAGTTAAGTTTTTGGGGAGTCAAAGGTTATCTATGGATTTTCAGCTGCACGGGGGTTGCTGCCCTTTAACCCACGAATTGTTCAATGGTCAATTGTATTCTTCCACAAGATCAGCTTTAAATTTTGTTTATTTATTTACTGTTTATTATTATTATTATTATTTGAGACAGGATTGCGCTCTGTCGTCCAGGCTGGAGTGCAGCAGTGCTATCCCCACTCACTGCAACCTCTGCCCCTGGGGCTCCAGAGATCCTCCCACCTCAGCCTCTCAAGCAGCTGGGACTACAGGCACATCCACCAAGCCCGGCTAATTTTTGTATTTTTAGTAGGGACAGGGTTTTACCGTGTTGGCCAGGCTGGTCTCAAACTCCTGGGCTCAATTCATCCACCTGCCTTGGCTCCCAAAATACTGGGATTACAGGCATGAGCTGCCACTCCTGGCCTTCCACAAGATCATTTTAAAGAATATTTTGTATTCCATTGCACTAATGCATTATAATCACCAAACTCCAGTCGTAAGCCAGCAGGTAGTTTCCAAGTGCTGCCATGCGCAAACATTTTTGTATACTTGGCTGGCTATTCCCTTTGAGTGAATTCCTAGAAGTAAATTTGAAGGAGTAGATGTAGAATCTTCAGACTTTCACCGCGTCAGGCCGGGCACGGTGGCTCACGCCTGTAATCCCAGCATTGTGGGAGGCCAATGCCGGTGGATCACTTGAGGTCAGGAGTTTCAGACCAGACCAGACGGTGAAACCCCATCTCTACCAGAAATACAAAAATTAGGCTGGGCACAGTGACTCACGCTGTAATCCCAGCATTTTGGGAGGCCGAGGTGGGAGGATCATGAGGTCAAGAGATTGAGACCATCCTGGCCAACATGGTGAAACCCCGTCTCTACTGAAAATACAAAAATTGGCCTGGCGTGGTGGCACAGGCCTGTACTCCCAGCTACTCAGAAGGCTGAGGCAGGAGAATCCCTTGAACCCGGGAGGCAGAAGTTGCAGTGAGCCTTGAGATCAGGAGTTCAAGACCATCCTGGCCAACGTGGTGAAACCCCGTCTCTACAAAAAATACAAAAAATTAGCTGGGGGTGGTGGCACACGCCTGTAATCCCAGCTACTCAGGAGGCTGAGGCAGGAGAATCGCTTGAACCTGGGAGGTGGAGGTTGCAGTGAGCTGAGATCACACCACTGCACTCCAGCCTCAGTGACAAGAGTGAGACTCCGTCTCAAAAAAACAAAAAGAATTAACTCCCATATATGAGGAAGAACACTTTTTAGGCTGCTGTCAATGAACAAAAGCAAAAACAGGATTTTAAAAAGAGGGAAGGAGAAAAAGAGTAGTATGGGAAGAGTGATTTTTGTTTTTACATTTTTTTAGCCAATAGATAGGCGGGTGGCTGGGCAAGGGCCCCACTAGGCCGTCTGCCCCTGAGCTGGCTGGCGGGGGCTGCGGGAGGCCGCCCTTTCCTTCTGGATTCTCTGGGAAGCCAGGAGAGTTCAGCCGTGCCGTATGCGACTGGGGGGCTCTGTGTGAGGTCTCTCAGGGCCCCTTTCCTTGGCCACAGCCCCTTGTTGAGGGGAGTCCTCAGCACTCCCTCCTCAGAATGGCTCCCAGTAACTACCTCCTGGGGTTGGGACCGAACAGTATCCGTGCCAACACCTAGAAACATCGGAACATCGCAGTCACTTCTGCCATAACTCTTGTTTCAGAAACGCTAATTTGTTCCAACATGATTGACATAGTAGGGTACAATCTGAGGTAAGTGTGATTTTTTCAGTTATTTATGAGCGGTCTCATTTCGGGCCCTGTGCTGGCCACGGAGACGTGGGGGACGGGGCTAGACGGCACCCGCGGTGAAACCTAAGGCAGCGGAAAAGCCAGCACCCTGCGCCCGTTGGCCTGGGCTTCCTCTGGGTCTCGGATGTCGGAGACAATTTTTCACTGGTTCCCCACGTTTCTGCAAGTCTCAGGAGCAGATGCGCCGACGGCCTTTTGCTCTGGACTCTCGTCAAGGACGTGTATATAGTGAAAGTCTCGGCGCGCAGGGACAGCGTCTCCCTCTGGGGCAGAAGCGAGATTTGCTCGCTGTCCAGTGTAACAAAGACGACGTCCACCCCCGGGAAAGGTTGGGCAGGTTTGCTTCGCAGCCCCTCATGACAGTCCGGCGTTTCCTAAGCACGGGGATCCCCGGCGGTGAGGCAAACCCAGCTGTGCCACAGAATCCACCTGGGCCTCTGCGTAGCCCCCGTGGGGTTTGGGGAGCAAAGGAAACGGGAGTGAAGAGGAAGCTCGTTCACACTGAGCAACGTGCCGTGCCGTGAGTGACAGAGTCCTCTGCCCTGGGCCAGGGTCTCTGGTCTTCTGCCAGCGTCCTTCAACCATGGCAGGCTCGCCCGTGAGCTTGCAGGCCGGTGAAAGCTCAGGCCTTCCCAGATCTTCATACGAGGAGGTCTTCTCAGCTCAGTAAGTGGACTGTGAAACGATGGTGTTCGGCCTGGCCCAGGAGGGAGCTGCAGGGGAGGCGAGGCTGGGGCACTGGCACCCGTACTGGCACTGGCACCCGTAGGTCTGTCTGGGGAAAAACCCGGGGCAGGAGGGCAGGAGAGGAAGCGAAGGTTTGCCTGGGTTGGAAACAGCCCCAACAACTCCCTGGCCAAGAGCCGCCTCTTCCCTGAAGAAGGAAGCCTTGGGGGCAGTCCCTGGGGCAACATGAGGAGCGGCCTCCTCCGGGCAAGCATGCGGGCCTTCAGGGGACCTTGGCAGGGCTTCCTGAGGGGCAGGAAGGCGACCGCGAGGCCGAGGCAGGTAGGCAGGGCCTGACCCCGAGGGGAATCTCTGGGGCCAGAGGGAAGCTGGAAGTGTCTGGCCAGGGGCCAAGGGGGCTCCTGCGGAAGCCCCCGGACAAGGACTTTCCCGTTCTGGCTCCCGCTCACCTCTCTCATTCCCCATGAACTCCAGGACCCCCATTTCAAGTAGAAAACAGCCGTCCCGAGAAAATCCCCAAACACGAGAGCCCTCTGCACAGCCCCTCGGCACTTCCCACCCAGCACGCGAGCTGGGGGATGCTGCTCCCAAGCCGCAGGCTCTTCCGTAAGCTCTTCTGGAAACTTTCCTCCTCCCCGAGGCAGCCCCAGCGGCACTTGGACTCCAGCAGTGCCCAAAACCACACAGGGCACCTGGACTCCAGCAGTGCCCAAAACCACACAGGGCACCTGGACTCCAGCAGTGTCCAAAACCACACAGGGCACCTGGACTCCAGCAGTGCCCAAAACCACACAGGGCACCTGGACTCCAGCAGTGCCCAAAACCACACAGGGCACCTGGACTCCAGCAGTGCCCAAAACCACACAGGGCACCTGGACTCCAGCAGTGCCCAAAACCACACAGGGCACCTGGACTCCAGCAGTGCCCAAAACCACACAGGGCACCTGGACTCCAGCAGTGCCCAAAACCACACAGGGCACCTGGACTCCAGCAGTGCCCAAAACCACACAGGGCACCTGGACTCCAGCAGTGCCCAAAACCACACAGGGCACCTGGACTCCAGCAGTGCCCAAAACCACACAGGGCACCTGGACTCCAGCAGTGCCCAAAACCACACAGGGCACCTGGACTCCAGCAGTGCCCAAAACCACACAGGGCACCTGGACTCCAGCAGTGCCCAAAACCACACAGGGCACCTGGACTCCAGCAGTGCCCAAAACCACACAGGGCACCTGGACTCCAGCAGTGTCCAAAACCACACAGTCCCGGGATTTTGATGAGTCAGCACCAACACGTGTCCCAGTGCTCACAGAACTACGCAGGTTGGCGGTTGCACAAGCGCCAAAGGGGCCCTGGCTTCACGGCTTCATTTATTCTTGTTACTACTCCCTGCATGGCTTGGCCTGGGCTGCGTCCACGGCTGCGAGGCTCCTGTCCGCCTCATGGAGGCAGGTGAGGCCAGCGCCACCCAGGCCCTGCTTTTCTGCTTTCTCCACTTGTCTGTGGCCCTCCTGGGCAGAGGAGACCGTAGTCTCAGCATGGGCCTGATGAGGCACAGCTGGGGGCTTCTGGAGCTGCCATCTACCCAGGACAACCGTCTTCCCGTGTCCCTGGGGGCTCTGTGCTCTCCATGGCTCCTTAGTTCAAGGTCTGATCCGCACGCCTGGATCCAACCTCTACATTTGTTCAGCGCTCCCCTCCTGCCCTCCCCACCTCTTCCTGGCCTTCCTACCCTCTGTAGGCATCTGATGAAAGACCATACTTCAGGTCCTGAGAAGGATAAAGTAAGTTATTGGTTTTTAAATGCATAGATCACTTACACAGAAACACAGACTCACGGATAAAAACACCTGAGTTTTAGTTTTGCCTCTTGCTTCTGCAGAGGGCTGGTGGGGAAAGAAGGAGAGGCTCTAATCAAAGAGCAAGAATTTGGGTTTTTTCCTAATACTTTATGCAAAGTACAGTGATCTTGACTCTGACGGCACAGGGGCTGGAGGTGGGGCGTCTTTCCCACACCAGGTTCCTCTGAGAGCCGGGCTTGTGGCTGAATGCCAACATCAAGTTTCTTTGGAGAGCCGCACTCAGGCCCCTGCGCTGGTAGGGTCAGTTGGGTGAGGGCCTGCCTCTTGGCAGAGGGGCCAGAATAACGGAGGGTAGGTGGCCTAATTGTCATCACGTGACCAGGGCTTTGGGGATTGGCTGCTCCTGCGTGTTAAAGGGTGTGACACATTCAAAGACTCTCCAGGCAATAACGGCTTATGAATGTTTTTAAAGCAGTTTTTTTTTTTTAAGTGAATCTTGGCCAGGCGTGGTGGCTCATGCCTGTAATCCCAGCATTTTGGGAGGCCGAGGCGGGTGGATCACTTGAGGTCAGGGGCTTGAGACCAGCCTGGCCAGCATGGTGAAACCCCGTTTCTACTAAAAATACAAAAATTACCTGGGCGTGGTGGCGCACGCCTGTAATCCCAGCTACTCAGGAGGGTGAGGCAGGAGAATCGCTTGAATCCGGGAGGCAGAGAGATCATGCACTCCAGCCTGGGCAACAGAGTGAGACTCTGTCTCAAAAAAAAAAAAAAAAAAAAAAAAGACCAGCCTGGGCAACAAAGTAAGACCCTATCTCTATAAAAAATAAAGTAAGTTTTTTAAAAAGCAGATCTCACATGTAGATGAAGCTAATATAATAGTAACTGTGTTGTATGTAATAAATGCTATGATATAACATCACAATATATTGATTATTAGGTAATATGTATCAATTATTATAATGTAGATATTGGAGCTGACATTTAACTCCTCTCACACTGACAGATTACATCTGGGGTCTGCAGGCTTTAACAACTTGGAAAGTTGGTCTAGTGTCAGAATTTTAAGAAGCCCTCCAATCCCAGACCCCCGTCTTCTTTGCCCTTGTGTGTTATGCTCGGCAGTAGGCTGATGCGACCTCATTGCTTCTGCTTCTCAAAACTGCATTCTCACAGACTTCTCTCCCCATCTCGAAATCACAGGGCTTGAAGAAGTTACCAACTTGCCAACTGCTGCATGAAACACCTTTTACCCGCATGTGAGAATCACCTTTACCCGCATATGAGAAACACCTTCACCTGCATATCAGAAACACCTTTACCCACATATGAGAAACACCTTTACCTGCATGAGAAACACTTTACCCGCATACGAGAAACACCTTTACCCGCATACGAGAAACACCTTTACCCGCATACGAGAAACACCTTTACCCGCATACGAGAAACACCTTTACCTGCATACGAGCAACACCTTTACCCGCATATAAGAAACACCAGCTCACCTGGCCCAGCCACTTTGTGAGGACCCCTGAGACGACAATAGTCTCCTGAGCCCTGTGGCCAGATCCACCCCCTCACCATTCCAGAATGATTCCCTCAGCCAGAATCAGGCATTGCCACCACATCATGTCTATGACCTGGCCCTCCACCCAGAACAACCCCAGACTCTCCTTCCAAATAGTTTGTTTCTCTTTCCATGCCCACATCTGGGGGGCGGTGGCGTGGGGACGCTAACATTTGCTGAGAATCTACGACGTACTAAGCTAATAGGAATTACGTCTACTCTCCCCACTGTGCAGACATGGAGACTGAGGCTCAGCTAGGAAGTGGCTTGCCCACAGTGACTCCAAAGCTCCTGCTCTTTCCCCCAGCACCCACTCTGCCTCCTACAGCTCAACAGTAGCCCCTCTCTCACCCTGCTCCTCCAGCACGAAACCAGGAGTGCCAGGCTAGATGTTGCCCGAAGGCTCGCCCCCTGGGCCTCGCCAGGTCCCGGCAGCTTATGCTGTCCCTGGCACCTTGGGGCCAAAGCCGTCTCCGGACCCTGGAAGCTGAGCTTTCATTTCAGTGACAATGTCCATGCAGGCTTATGACGCATCACCCTCTTGCCCCCTCCTCCAGCTCCAGGAAGTGTGAGTGGGAACTGGGGCCGAGGAGTGAGAACACTCCAGGTGCACCCGAGGAAGCAGTTTCAAGGGGTGTGGCTTGGTGAGAAGTCCCTTTTTCCTCTAAAGGGAGAGTCTGGCATGTGTAGGCTAAAGAGAGTGTCTAGGTCGGGCTCCTGCTCACCTGGAGGGAATGCGGGGGTCACAGGCGGGTGAAGAGCAGGCGGACACACCTTTCTGTGCAATGCTTGAGGTTGAGGTGGGGTACGTTTATTTTTAGATATACTGTCCTGTCTCTCTCCCCTCTCCCACCCTTACCCCTTACCTTCTTCTCTGGTTACAGAAGGAAACAAGGGAATGTGATACCTTCCAGTCAATAGCAGGTCAACCTTTGAGAGAGCAGGGCTGAAACCACTGAGGCAGGTGTGGCCACTGCTGCCTGGGCCCTGCTTTTCTGCCCTCCTGGGCAGGGGAGGGGGTGGTCTCAGCACGGGCCTGATGAGCTACAGCTGAGGGCTCCTGGGGCTGCCATCTGCCTGGCCTCATGATCCAAGAAGTTAGATCGAGGAATAGTCAAGCTGGTCCCTTGGTCATGCCGCCTGGCTCCTGACTCAGTGGTGACAAGAGCCGAGATTTGGGGGATTTCCAGAGCCAGCCCAGGGTGATGTGGGCACACCTGCTGGTCTTCCCAAATAGGTCATCATTCGGCAAGAATCATCTATTGTCATGACCCATACACCTACCCTGCCCCAAATTTTCTTCAAGGAGGTTGTACTGGGGTGAGTACGTGTCCCCCAAAATTCATGTCACTCAGAATGTGACCTTATTTGGAAATAGGGTCTTTGCAGAGGTTATTAGTTAAGTTAAACTGAGGTCATGCCGAATTGAGGCAGAGCCTAATCCAGTGACTGGTGTCCTTATGAGAAGAGGAAACAGAGACACACGCACAGGGGAGAAGATGGCCACACAACACGATGGAGGCAGAGGCTGGAGGGACACGGCTGCCAGCCCGGGAATGCGGAGAATGGCCAGCCACCCCTGGAAACCAGGAGAGAGGCCAGGAGGGCTCCACCCCAGAACCTCCGGAGGGAGTGTGGTTCTGCCCACGCCTTGATTTTGGACTTCTGGGTTCCAAACTGTGAAAGAATAAATTCCTGTTTGTTTGAAGCCACCGAGTTTGTGAGCACTAAGGCAGAGGCCTTCCTGGATGGCCCTCACTGAGGCTTGTCTGTTGCCTGGCACACAGTCATGCCCAGGGCCACAGACCCTGTTGCTAAATGATCCTCTCTCCATGTTTAGATTCCACTAGCTCGTGACCCCGTGAGGGCACATAGGGCCACGTGGTAATGTGTCCGTCGCATTGTCAGGCTGCTCCTCTGCCTGCATTCTGCCTCCCCTGCACACCGGGGAGCAGAGCTCACCAGACCCCTCTTCTGTCCCCTGGCCAGCTTCAGCTGGTGCCTCCTCTCCCCAGGGAGCAAGGGGAACAAGGAACAAGTCTCACTTTCCAGCCTGATGGGCTAATCTCACTGCCTTCTTTCTCTGTTCAAATTTTGTCTGGATCACTTTCTTCAGGACAGTCGCTGGGCTAAGCATAGTGTCCAGTATCAAAATGAGAAGCCTGGCAGTTGGTCCTGGATCATAGCTGGGAGCTCACCCAGGAAAGAGCTGGGATGGGAAGGGGTTCTCCACCTTTTCCCCACCCACCTGCAGAGTCTTTAATCCACCCATCATTTTTAGGCTTCCGGAGTAATTATTCTATTTATTTTATTTTATTATTTCAAGACGGAGTTTCGCTCTTGTTGCCCAGGCTGGAGTGCAGTGGTGTGATCTCAGCTCACTGCAACCTCCGCCTCCCAGGTTCAAGTGATTCTCCTCCCTCAGCCTCCCAGGTAGCTGGGACTACAGGTGCACACCACCAACATTTCTACTAAGTTTGTATTTTTAGTAGAGATGGGGTTTCTCCATGTTTGTCAGGCTGGTCTTGAACTCCCGACCTCAGGTGATCTGCCCGCCTCGGCCTCCCAAAGTGCTGGGATTACAGGCGTGAGCCACAGCGCCCGGCCCCATTGTCAGCTCTGCTTCCGCCATTAGACCATCAACATTAAAAGGGTTAATTG